>NC_000001.11:207578526-207730041 GCF_000001405.40 Homo sapiens | reverse complement strand
ATCTTGGACGCTCTACCCACCAGAACTATGAGAAATAAATGCTTGGTTTTTAGAAATGAAATAATGTTTTTTAGGGACGGGGTCTTGCCATATTGCCCAGGCTGGCCTTATACTCATGGGCTCAAGCAGTACTCCTCCCTCAGCCTCCCGAGTAGCTGGGACTATAGGTGAGTACCACTGCACCCAGCTTAAATGCTTATTGAATCCACCCAGTCTATGGAGTTTCTGTTATAACTGCCCAAGTATCTATACCAACAGACTGAGACAGTTGGTATATTAGTACAAGGAGCAGCCTTGAAACCTGGAGTAAGCTTAGGACAAGTTAAAGATGCACTGTTTAACTTGGTAGAGAATTAATTAGAGCAGAAATTTCCCCTTGTGGTAACACTCTTAGTAGTGTTTAGCTCACTCATTCATTTGATAAGTATTTATTGAGACTCTCTTTGTTCCGGGGACAGTTTAGATTTGTTATGTATCCATTGGTGAAGACAGGACAAAAATCCCCGACTTCATGGAGGGAGAGAGACAATAAACAAGAAACTTAATTATTTAATTAATTATAATAAACGATAAGTATACAAAAAAATAAAGCAGGATAAGAAAGATTGGGAATGTGGGGGTGGGGGTCATACGAGTCATACCATCTTTACTAGGATCGTTAAAGTAGGCCTCCTTGAGGAGCATTTTAAAGAAGGTGAGATGATTTCTGTGTGTGAATTACTTCTATTTCTGTCTTATTTTAGTTTCTTTTTTCTTTCTTTCTTTCTTTCTTTTTTTTTTTTTTTTTTTTGAGAGGGAATTTTGCTTTTGTTGTCCAGGCTGGAATGCAGTGGCACGATCTTGGCTCACTGCAACCCCGCCTCCCTGGTTCATGTGATTCTCCTGCCTCAGCCTCCTGAGGAGCTGGGATTACATGTGCCCGCCACCATGCCTGGCTAATTTTTTGTATTTTTAGTAGAGATGGGGTTTTATCATGTAGTCCAGGCTGGTCTCCAACTCCGGACCTCAGGTGGTCCACCCGCCTAGGCCTCCCTAAATGCAGGGATTACAGGCCTGAGCCACCGCGCCCAGCCTCATTTTAGTTTCTTAGTAAGTCTTCAGACTGCTTATGCAGTTTCTGAATTGTCTCCAGTGTTTGAGATATACATCAGCCTGCTACTGTCTAGTCCTGGTGTGATTGCGGCTCTCCCATAGAGCAGGCCATCTTGTTCTACACTATTCTATATCTGTCAGTCTTTTTTAGCTCCAGGATAAACGGCTCTTCTTACTTGATGACCACTACGATACTCTCCACTCATATTCTGTGTTTCCCACATGACTTCCTTCTTCTTTGCCATGAGGCCCTTTATGCCCTTCTCTTTCTGTGAGGAAAGCTTGAGCTCCAGATAAGGAATAATTGGCCCTCCTCACATAGCCACAATGACTTAGCTTATTGGCCACACCCACTCAAGGAGGTATGACTGCATGATTAATTAGCCCAACTCCTTCCAAAAGAAGGGACCTCTGCCTTCTGATTATTTAAGTTTATTACTTCTTTTTTCCAATTTTAGCTATATGTTATTTCTAACATGAAAATCAATGGTGTTTTGTTAGAGAAATGCACTCACTATCCTGAAACCACCTTTGCAAAGATTCTGAGAGTGAAAGAAATCTAACGTGACTGACTTCATCTTGCTTCCAGCCTCACAGGTGGGCCGGCTTTGCTCATTCCTGGGTGTAGGCCAAGCTAACCATGAAAGGAATTTAGTTTATAATTTAACTTTGGAGCAAGGATAATAACAGTCTCTTCCTAAAACTAGCTCCCTCCTTGCTCAGGGCCTGAAAGCTAATGAAAGGCCAAAAGATTAGGATTAGGAGAGGGACCTGAACTCTGCTAAAATATAGGCATAGTTCTTATAATTCATTACTGCTCAGGAGTCAGGTGGCCAGAGGTCACAAGATTTGTGACTTCCCTAATTGCTCCTATAGGTAACATCACTATTGTAGAATGTAAGATTGGTCTTCTGAGATGTTTTTCAGATTTTTGCATTTGGCAACTGACTGACTCTACCTGGACCTGTGACTCATGACTCAACTGGTCCTGTGGCCCCCAACCAGAGGTGGACACAGCACATGAGGAACATTTCCCACACCCCCATCCCCAACCAATCAGTAGTACCCATTCCCTAGCTCCCTTCCTACCAAATGATCTATAAAAACCCTAGCCCCTGTGTTCTTGGGGAGACTGAGTTGAGTGATAACTCCAGTTCTTCCACGTGACTGGCCTTGTGTTAATTCATCTCTTTCTTTACTGCAATATACCATGATCTCAGGGAATTGGTTTTGTCTGTATGACAGGCAGGAAGAACACGTCAGACAGTTACAATCCCAAGAAGTGAAACAGGTCAAAAATAAAAGTTTAGAAAATGTTTAAAAATTTTCCTGGATTACACATATAGAATAGGTTTTAGTGTGGGTTACATAGATGTTTGGGAGGTTTACCTCCCTGACCTTTAAGTCTAACGAGGATCATGATCTTTCTTTCTGCCACATTTCTGGTAGCCACTGGTCAGAGAGAGAATGGTTGTGCCATGGACATTACACTTTAAAAGAATATGAAAAAGTAGGCAGGTTTTACGAGATGGAAAATGTGAAGAAATGGTATATGCTCTGAGGTTGCTTAAACTATACAAGATAATCATTTCTAAAGAAATAATTTTATGAAATGGTTATTGAGTCATGTTTATGCCTGAAGATGATTAATATGAGGAAATGATCTTAAATTATGTAGGTGAAACAAATCAATAGTTAGGCTTGGGAATCTGACCCTCTAGTTGATTAACAAGGAATGTGCCATAAGGAATGAAGAATGACATAGTTAGAAGGGTGGAGATACTCAAATATCTTCAACATATTAAAGTATCTTGAATATTTTCAAAAGGAAGAGATAATCATTTCCCTTGTGTAGTTTCAACGAGAGACTGGTATAGATACAGAAAATTAGAAGCCCCAACTTCTTTAATTCAGACTTAGTAAATTAAAAAAAAAAAATTAAGTCATAGGCTGGGCACGGTGGCTCACGCCTGTAATCCCAGCACTTTGGGAGGCCGAGGCGGGTGGATCACAAGGTCAGGAGATCAGACCATCCTGGCTAACACGGTGAAACCCCGTCTCTACTAAAAAAATACAAAAAATTAGCCAGGTGTGGTGGCGGGCGCCTGTAGTCCCAGCTGTGTGGGAGGCTGAGGCAGGAGAATGGCGTGAACCCGGGAGGCGGAGCTTGCAGTGAGCCGAGATGCACCACTGCACTCCAGCCTGGATGACAGAGCGAGACTCGTCTCAAAAAAAAAATAAAAATAACTCACAAATTATAGTGGTACCTAACAAGAAACTTTAAGAGAAAAATGTATTGACACAAGTACTTTGTTAAGGTAAAGTGCCCAGCTACTTATCTTTTCTTTTTGTAATAGAAAAGAGCAAAGAACATCTATATGTCAAGCCATACGATATAGAGAACATTAGTTAGGAAGGATAATGATTTAAATTTAAATGTCAACCAATTCACTATTTTCCCATGAAATTGAGTTCCTGACTAGGTTGTTTACAGCAAGATCTACTATGACAAACTACTTTTTAAAAAGTGTATTGAAATCTCTGTGAAATACGAAAACTTCGATTGCTGTAAAGCTCATTGTAGGAAACTGTACTTGTTTAGAATATTTCCTGTAGAAAACTGTTCACTTAAAAGTTGCAAATTCAGTTTTTTTATTTTTATTTTTTAGACAGAGTCTGCTCTGTTGCCCAGACTGGAGTGCAGTGTTGCGATCTCAGCTCACCACAACCTCCGCCTTCTAGGTTCAAGCGATTCTCCTGCTTCAGCCTCCCGAGTAGCTGGGACTACAGGCACACGCCACCATGCCCAGCTAACTTTTTGTATTTTTAGTAGAGATGGGGGTTTCACTGTGTTGGCCAGGCTGGTCTCGAACTTCTGACCTCATGATCTGCCCACCTCAGCTTCCCAAAATGCTGGGATTACAGGCGTGAGCCACCGAGCCTGGCCCTCAGTTTTTTATGGATATAGAATTTGCTCATCAACCTTATAACATTGATATTATTGATTCTGGCCTCATTGATGTTGTTATATTTCAGTCAACCAGTACAAAAGCTGCGTATGTTCTCTTCCCTGTCAAAGACATTTCTTTACTCAGATCTTAATTTTTGGAATTTTTTTTCAAGTGTAAAAAGTTAATGGTAGCCTGGCATGGTGGCTCATGCCTGCAATCCCAGCACTTTGGGAGGCCAAGGCGGGTGGATCACTTGAGGCCAGGAGTTTGAGACCAGCCTGGCCAACATGGCAAAACTGTCTCTACTAAAAATACAAAAATTAACCTGGCGTAGTGGCACAGGCCTGTAGTCCCAGCTACTCGGGAGGCTGAGGCAGGAGAATCCCTTGAACCCGGGAGGCAGAGGTTTCATTGAGCCAAGATCGCACCACTGCACTCTAGGCTGGGTGACAGAGCAAGACTCTGTCTCAAAAAAAAAAAAAGTTAATTGTAATTACAAAATATTTGTTCATATATTAAAATACCCAATGGAAAGTCTCAGTTCTTCCCCACTGGCAGCCTATGTGTGCCATAAGTGACCCAATCTAACTTCTAGTGCTATGATAGGATCTGGGCTTAGAGGTCAGTATCTGCAATGTCTTAGCAAAACTAGGATATCAAACAGCCTCATGAACAACTTTTTAAAAACCCCTTCTGCCTACTTTCTCTTTCTGTAAAACTCAATTCTTGCTTAAAATGCTATGTGTTTGTGTGTGTGTGCGTGTGTGTGTGTGTTTTGAGATGTAGTCTCACTCTGTCGCCCAGGCTGGAGTGCAACAGCTCAATCTCAGCTTACTACAACCTCTGCCTCCTGGGTTCAAGCAATTCTTGTGCTTCAGCCTCCCAAGCAGCTGACATTACAGGCGTGTGCCACCTCGCCCGGCTAATTTTTTGTATGTTTAGTAGAGACGGGGTTTTACCATGTTGCCCAGGCTGGTCTCGAACTCCTGGCCTCTAGTAATCTGCCCACCTTGGCCTCCCAAAGTGCTGAATTTACAGGCATGAGTCACTGTACCTGGCCAAAATGCTGGTTTTTTGTTATTATTATTATTTTTTAATTGTTCTTAGTATCCTATATACTTCCTTTAGTGTGAATACCTCTTTGTCTATACTGTGTGTCAAGGACCTTCTTTATAAGAATTACCACATCTGTTTATGTAGCAATGGGTTTGTTTGTCTTTTACTTTCTTTTGACTTCCAAGAGGGGGTAAGTACAGTTTACATTTCTTGGGATAATATGGCTATACTTACCTTTTTCTGTGCTTGAAAATTATCCAATAGAGGAAAATGATGATTAAAATAAAGATGATCGTACCAAGTAAAGTGCCTAGGCAGTAAAACAAGGTAATTAAATGCGTGGAAAATATAACTCACAGGTTTTAAATTCTATCTTAGTATCCAGTCCCACTACAGATTGCCAATGCTTTTTTTTTTAAAAGATGTAACTATACATTCTGCTTTACTCTGGGTTTCTATAGCATTAGTCTCACTCCCACAGGGTTATTATAGTTAAGGGGTGAGCTGACCTCTTTTGTAACCTTTAGTCCACCATCAGCCTTTCCACAAGTAAGTGAGAAGTGCGATGGGACAGCTGGCCACTGGCTCTCCATGGCCCTGCCCATGTCTCTCGCCTAAGGCTTAACACACAGGCATTTCACTGTGACAATACTGGAATTTTCTCTCTTGTTGAATTATATATTTACGTCCTTTTGTCCATTTATTGATTGTTAAAGTGCACAGTCTCCACTGATAGGTAGATTGCCTGCTTAGACCCAGGCTACCCCATTCTGTGGTCTTGGGCAAGTTACCTAAACCCTCCGTGTCTCAGTGTCCAGATGTATAAAAAGGGATGTAAGAATACTATGCCATAGAGATTCCCTTGGAAGCAAACTCTATTACAAAACTATTCTTCTTACATAGGCAGATCACAGACATGGGCTCGGAAGACTGGTCTTGTAGCTTTCTATTTGTACAAATGGGCACAATCACCATCTGGAAGCATACTCCAGGTTATAACCCAAAGAAGAAGTTTCATTCTCCCACCACATTCAAATAAATACTTTTTGACACTGTTGAACGATTATGCATTTGTAGTGGTTCAAAGATAGTAAAGAACTTTTGAGGAAGGTTACTCAATAACCTGGCATATGACGATGCCAGTTTCACCATATCCTGGCCTAAACTCATCATAATTTTCTTTCTATTTGAATTTATAACTCAAGATATTTTGATCTCTCTTTCTACATTGCATTCATTATAAGTAGGTACTTACTGTTAAAGATGACAGAATTCCTCAGCAAACACTTCATAAAACTTACCAACTATAAGAGCATCATGTGAACCTAAAAGGAAGACAAAAGTCACAAAAACATCACTCTGGCATGCAACATGATTGAACAGGACTTCTCAGCCAGTGACAATTTATCCTGATTTTTATTCAGGACTCAGACTAATATTTTTTATAAAAAGCCATTGATTTCACTCATATACTCTCATTTTACCTTCTGCACTCAGAGAAGATTTTTTTTTTTTTTTTTTGACAAAGTCTCACTCTGTCGCCAGGCTGGAGTGCAGTGGTGCAACCTCACTGCGACCTCTGCCTCCTGGGTTCAAGGGATTCTCGTGCCTCAGCCTCCTGTGTAGCTGGGAAAACAGGCACGTGCTACCACACCCAGCTAATTTTTGTGTTTTTAGTAGAGACGGGGTTTCACCATGTTGGCCAGGATGGTCTCAATCTCCTGACCTCGTGATCTGCCCGCCTCAGCCTCCCAAAGTGCTGGGAATACAGGCGCGAGCCACTGCCAAGAAGACTTTAAAAATTAATATTTTTCTCGTAAAAGTAATACAATTACAGAAGAAAACTTATAATACAGAACTAAAGAAAAATATCACCCCAAATCCTAGTACCCAAAATGTGTTTTGATACATTCTCTTCTGGTATGTTTTCACATATTTATATACTAGAAATATAAGTTACAACAAAGGCAAACTAATATAATCTAGTAGATGCATCATAGTATATTCAATGACTTCTATTGTGCATTTATTTCTAGTTTTCTTTCTCATGAAACCCTTAATAAAATGCATAAACTATTTTATATTTTACACTATTTTCTTAGGTTGCAGTTCTAGGAGGCTAACTGGCAGAATATTTGTATTATTGTCCACACACATTGCATAATTGTTTTTCATAAGAGATTTTGCCAATTTACAATAGTACCTTCAATATACAACAATATTCGTTACATTACATCCTTACTTTTTATTGGGTGTTCACATAAAAACCTGTTTGTCGTTAATTTAATGGACAATTTAAAAAAAGGGTACTTTATCACACTACCTGACTTCAAACTATACTACAAGGCTACAGTAACCAAAACAGCATGGTACTGGTACCAAAACAGAGATATAGATCAATGGAACAGAACAGAGCCCTCAGAAATAACGCCGCATATCTACAACTATCTGATCTTTGACAAACCTGACAAAAACAAGCAATGGGGAAAGGATTCCCTATTTAATAAATGGTGCTGGGAAAACTGGCTAGCCATATGTAGAAAGCTGAAACTGGATCCCTTCCTCACACCTTATACAAAAATCAATTCAAGGTGGATTAAAGACTTAAACATTAGACCTAAAACCATAAAAACCCTAGAAGAAAACCTAGGCATTACCATTCAGGACATAGGCATAGGCAAGGACTTCATGTCTAAAACACCAAAAGCAACGGCAACAAAAGACAAAATTGACAAATGGGATCTAATTAAACTAAAGAGCTTCTGCACAGCAAAAGAAACTACCATCAGAGTGAACAGGCAACCTACAAAATGGGAGAAAATTTTCGCAACCTACTCATCTGACAAAGGGCTAATATCCAGAATCTACAATGAACTCAAACAAATTTACAAGAAAAAAACAAACAACCCCATCAAAAAGTGGGTGAAGGACATGAACAGACACTTCTCAAAAGAAGACATTTATGCAGCCAAAAAACACATGAAAAAATGCTCATCATCACTGGCCATCAGAGAAATGCAAATCAAAACCACAATGAGATACCATCTCACACCAGTTAGAATGGCAATCATTAAAAAGTCAGGAAACAACAGGTGCTGGAGAGGATGTGGAGAAATAGGAACACTTTTACACTGTTGGTGGGACTGTAAACTAGTTCAACCATTGTGGATGTCAGTGTGGCGATTCCTCAGCGATCTAGAACTGGAAATACCATTTGACCCAGCCATCCCATTACTGGGTATATACCCAAAGGACTATAAATCATGCTGCTATAAAGACACATGCACACGTATGTTTATTGTGGCATTATTCACAATAGCAAAGACTTGGAACCAACCCAAATGTCCAACAATGATAGACTGGATTAAGAAAATGTGGCACATATACACCATGGAATACTATGCAGCCATAAAAAATGATGAGTTCATGTCCTTTGTAGGGACATGGATGAAATTGGAAAACATCATTCTCAGTAAACTATCGCAAGAACGAAAAACCAAACACCGCATATTCTCACTCATAGGTGGGAATTGAACAATGAGATCACATGGACACGGAAGGGGAATATCACACTCTGGGGACTGTGGTGGGGTGGGGGGAGGGGGGAGGGATAGAATTGGGAGATATACCTAATGCTAGATGACGAGTTAGTGGTTGCAGCACACCAGCATGGCACATGTATACATATGTAACTAACCTGCACAATGTGCACATGTATCCTAAAACTTAAAGTATAATAAAAAAAAAGGGTACTTTGTTATTTTTGCATTTCTTTAGTTCTAGTGAGGTTAAACAGTTTCTGTATATTTATGTGCCAAAGTAGAAAGATATTTACACCCTTTCTCTAAATCTTGCATCCTAAGATAGTTTCTGCATTTCCCTGCAGAAACTTTCAAGGCTGTGTTGCATCGAACTATGCAGAACTGAAGAAACTCCATTTACCTTAGAAATGGCATGGAGACTTCTTGTGAACTAAGAAGGTCCAGAAGGTGGGGAGACTATTGAGAGACAGTCTGGGTGGAACTGAGAGAAGCTAGGCTCTAGGAAAGCAGTTGCTTTAATGAATGGGACACTGGGTAATGGAAATGGGTAAAGAGGATTTGGGGACATTTTAATGAGTGTCACATAGTTTAATTTTTCTTTAAGCCTCTCTTAAGATATTCAAGTTGAAACTTCTGTTAGTTTTTACATGTTTTCTGGAGTTGAACTTATTTGTCTAGCATGCAACACCATGCTAATTAGTCTTGAGACAGCGTAAATATGGGTTATATGTATTAATTCTGGCTTTAAAGGGTACCTGGCAATTACCCCTTGCTCTGAGGAAGGTTTTGAAATGAATCAGGCCTCTGATGTAACTGGGCCATTGAAATGGGGAGATAGGGGATCTGAGTATCCCAAGATATTCTTCCTGCTCTGATGCTAGTACTCAAAGGTTCCTTTTTCTCTTTGGATTGCTATTCTGTCTCAAAACCCTCTATGGCATGTCACTCCAAGCCTGGACCACCGCCCCAGGTTAGTTCCTCATCTTCCATTTTAGGAAGGCCTAGGACTGGTATCTTAAGCAATCTATCCCAAGTCTTAGGGAAAAAATACTGGGTTTAATTTTTTCTGTTTCGATAGTCTCTAAGATCATGAAATTTTCTTTGTCTCTTCTCACTACAAAGCAGTAAGATGTCAAAGGCCAAGACTAGATAGGGTAAAGAGACTAGGAACAAGAAGGCAAAGGGGACTGCTTTTAGTCTGAGTCTTAGTTCAGAGAGACAAAAGGAGTTCCTATGTGGTTCAGCCCAATTCACGAGGAGTTTACACTAAGCTCTGAGTTCCAAGAACCTGCTGGTTAATAGTTATTTGGCCCATTCTAATTCTTTGTATGTATCTCCTTCATCCAACTTAAGAATTGCCCATTATCTGGTGTTTGGGACCTTGCCTGATAGCTTTCCATTTCATTATGACAGTACTTAAATATTCTCTCTTGTTGAATTATATATTTAGGTCCGTTGACCATTTATTTATTGTTAAAGAGCACAGTCTCTACAGATAAGTAGATTGCTTGGCTGAACCCAGGCTACCCCATTCTGTGGTCTTGTGCAAGTTACCTAAACCCTCTGTGTCTCAGTTTCTACACCTATAAAATGAGACAATAAGAATACTATCCTCCTCATAGGTTGTTGTGTAATTAAATTAGAAGCTATCTTGTGTGTGTGCGTGTGTGTGTGTGTGTGTTTGAGACAGAGTCTTGTTTGTTGTCCAGGCTGGGGTGCAGTGTTGTGATCTCAGCTCACTGCAGCCTCGACCTCCCAGGCTTGGGATTCTCCCACCTGAGCCTCTCAAGAAGCTGTGACTACAGGCATGCACTACCACGCCCAGCTAATTTTTTTTATTTTTTGTAGAGACAGAGTTTTGCTATACTGCCCAGGCTGCACTTGAACTCCTGGGCTCAAGTGATCGTCTCACTTTAGCCTCCCAAAGTGCTGGTATTACAGACATAAGCCACCATGTCCAGCCTATCTAACAGTGGTACTAAGTATTCATTATATATTAACTTTTACAACTAGTATCACAACCACCACTACTGCTACCTGTAAGATAACACTATTAACCCTTTGCTGTGTTTCCCATATATTTCTCATCTATCTACTGTGTTATTTATTTTTCTTTTTTTTTTTAATGTTTTTTTTTTTTAAATTATACTTTAAGTTTTAGGGTACATGTGCACATTGTGCAGGTTAGTTACATATGTATACATGTGCCATGCTGGTGCGCTGCACCCACTAACGTGTCATCTAGCATTAGGTATATCTCCCGATGCTATCCCTCCCCCCTCCCCCGACCCCACCACAGTCCCCAGAGTGTGATATTCCCCTTCCTGTGTCCATGTGATCTCATTGTTCAATTCCCACCTATGAGTGAGAATATGCGGTGTTTGGTTTTTTGTTCTTGTGATAGTTTACTGAGAATGATGTTTTCCAATTTCATCCATGTCCCTACAAAGGACATGAACTCATCATTTTTTATGGCTGCATAGTATTCCATGGTGTATATGTGCCACATTTTCTTAATCCAGTCTATCATTGTTGGACATTTGGGTTGGTTCCAAGTCTTTGCTATTGTGAATAATGCCGCAATAAACATACGTGTGCATGTGTCTTTATAGCAGCATGATTTATAGTCATTTTTTCAACATACAGAAGTTCTAAGTCCAATTAGCCAACAGGTCAAAAAAGTCAGCACCAGGCTCATGCCTGTAATCCCACACCTTTGGAAAGTCGAGGCAGGTGGATTACCTGAGGTCAGGAGTTAGAGACCAGCCGGGCCAACATTGTGAATCCCTGTCTCTACTAAAAAATACAAAAATTAGCCAGGTGTGGTGGTGGGTGCCTGTAATCCTAGCTACTTGGGAAGCTGAGGCAGGAGAATTGCTCAAACCCAGGAGGCGGGGGTTGCATTGAGCCGAGTTTGTGCCATTACACTCCAGCCTGGGAGACAGTGCAAGACTCCATCTCAAAAGAACACATTAAAAAGTCAACACCTTTTATAATTCAATGCTCTTCTGTCCTTACTGGAGGATGGAGCTTGTGTGGGCAGTCACAGCCACAAATGCATCTACGGTTGTCAAGTACTGTCGTTTAAAGCCAGAGTAATATATCAAAGGAAGGAGCTATGAAGGCTAAGAGTACAGTCTCAGACTCTGCTTCTCCAGGGCCTCCCGAGTTCCCTTTGTTAATGGTGAGGTGAAGGACCAACTAAATATAGTCAGCGGCTTGAACAAACCCTTGGAAACAACATAAAAAGTATAAATCCCTACATCTGAATTTCTTAAATTACTTTTATAGCGTTATCAGTTCTGAAGTAAATTACATCATCATGTACTTTTTGCGCAGCACATCCATCTCTCCAGGATAAAGACAACTCATAGTAGGGGTAGAATAAAAGAGTACATTCTTTAGCATTTGTTTTCAGTACTTTCAAAAATTTCTCTACAAAATCTGGACCTCACCAATTCTCTTCACTGTCCACCCTCTTCTCTCCTTACCATCCCACCCTCCTCACCCCAAAGGCCATCAGAATACCAATAATTGAGACAGTGTGCCTATCTAGAACCCATTTGTCATTCACTTGGGAGGTAGTTCTGTCTCTGACAGTTACAGCAAAGCCATTTTCACAAGCAAAAATGACTGTCACTATAGAAATATGAAGGTTCTCACCTACATATTCTGAACCCATTTAGGATATGTGGAAGCGGATACTGACCAGCACCAACAGGAAGTTCACAGCGAGGGGCAGGGCTGCTCCAAACCCCATTCCCATGAGGTTCACTTGTGCGGCGGATGGTGCTCTCCCCAATGAGGTTGAAGGTCATCCCTCTGTCTGGGTGGGGGTCACATGTGTAAGATACTTCTTTTCCATAGGGAATATCTCCAAGGGGAGTTCCTGTGTGTCTCCCATTAAGGATAGCTGGAGGATTTGGACAAAAGATTTCTAGAAAGAAAACAAGAGCTTTTAAGTTCTATTAGAGTTTCACTTAAGATGACTGAAATATTAGTGACCTGCGACAGTGCTATGAATATAATTTTTTTTCTTTTAGAAAGACTATAACTAAGGTGGATGGAATTTAAATCTGTAAGGCTTTTGTTGAGAGGCAACTAACTGTTGTGAGACCTAAATTACAGTCTATTGCAAAAGCCCAAAGACAGTGTTTTTGGACCATCCAGGTAGCTACGTTCATAATGAATTTGGAAAGTAATTTTTTTTAATTTTTTTACAAACACCCATTTGGTTGTCTACTTTAAATCAGGCATAGTAAGATTCCTGGGTTGACAATGAGGTTCAAGACAGACAAAATTTTGGCCATCAGAGACCATAAGTTCCAAGGAAATCTATGAACTTTAATAGTCATGAACTATCATCTTTAGCAATGTAAATGTTTCTTGGTGATTCAAGACTGTTATCATCAGGACCAATACCAAATTTCCAGTGGTGTCATCAGACTACATTGGTAAGGCTCTTTTTACACAGATTAAATGGTGCCAAAGAGGCTTTTTTTCTTTCTTCCAAATTATTAGCCATCATTTCTTCCTTCTTTTCTTCTGTTTAGAACAGTTCCTTCCCTAAAAGCACTTGATGCTTCTAATTTGATATGAATTTAGGAAGAGATACCCAAGTTTATCGGAATTATGTGTACATAAAAGACTTAGTACATCAAACAATGATTAACTTCTCATGCTTGAATTTTACTTGTGTTTTTCCTAAGTTTATTTATATATTTATTTTCAGCTCTATGTGTCTCTGTAAGGGTTGAGTTTGTTGGATACTTGAGTTTCCTCAGGTATTGAATGTTCTTCACCATAATACTCACCATAAAATATCCAAATTGATTTCTGTAAGTTATTTTAACACAATGCAAATTAAAGTAAACATTTTCCAATAAGAAAAAAAAGGTTTAAAAAAATCATGCCTTGCTTTAATAGACAGAATAGGGTAAATCAGTAATGTCTTAGTATGTCAAATATGTACTTTTATCTGAGTTTCTGAATTCTTTCTGAATTTTGGGATATTTTATTTAAGCGGATGGTTTGGAAATTTAGGACACCTCATCATTTCAGACACTGATTCGTCATCCCGGCTCCTTCCACTGTACACTGTACTAATTTATCATATAACTCTGTTTTATTTTCTCCATAACATCCCTATTTAACTACCATTTTATATATTATAATTTTTAGAATTTTGTTTTCTTATTTTATTGTTTTTAGTCTTCTTCCCAACAAGAAAATATACTCCAGGAAAGTAGGGAGGTGGCTTCACTATTCTTTTACTCTTCATTGCATTTTCTACACATGGAAAGTCCTAGCACATGGGAAGCCCTATGTCATTCAATACTGCAGGCTAAAAAACAAGCTGACTAAATTGTTTATGATACGTGAGGGGATAAAAGAACATAAGAATTTGGCTGGGTACGGTGGCTCACACTTGTAATCCTAACACTTTTGGAGGCCAAGATGGGAGGATAGCTTGAGCCCAGGAGTTTGAGACCAGCCTGGGCAATATGGCAAGACTCCATCTCTACAAAATATAAAAAATTAGCCAGGTGTGGTGGCATGCACCTGTAGTCCCAACTACTGGGAGGCTGAAGTGGGAGGGTCACTACAGCCCAGGCCATTGAAACTGCAGTGAGCTGTGATTGCACCACTGCATTCTGTCCTGGGTAACTGTCTCAAAAAAGAAAAAAAAAATGTAAGAAAGATTACTCCTTATAAGAAAATTAAAAATAAATGACTGACTAAAATGTGCTGCACTTTTATGTCATTTAGTTTCTTGCCACACATTCCCCACAAAATTAAACAGTCATTAAACTAAGTGATTTACAGATTAGTAACAAATGTCAGAAAAGTCCTACAAGACCCTTCTTGAAATTCTTCCAACAGAGAAGTATTTTAATCAGTAATTTAGTTAAGTAAAGATCCAGACAAGTGATTCCGTGCAGTAAAACACTGGAAAACAAAAATAAGGAGAGCTATCCAAACTACGTAGTTCTTTCTACTCACGTTCACACACTGGAACACTGCTATTCCAAAGGGCTTTCATTCCAGCCAAGACACAATGACTAGCAGACCTGCCTTTTAATCAGAACCTAAAGAAAAAAAAAAGTGGTAGCAAATGTGTGAGCAATTCCCATCTCTCCCTTGATTTCTTCACTAATAGATGCTCAGCTTCCTCACTACCATTTCCTCCTTGACTATCATTTGGGTCTTAGGTTCAGGTCTAGCTAAAAGTCTTAGTTCATTAGGGATCTGAATTCTTCAGTAGCTGACAGAAACTCAAAGGCCAATTTATTCTAAAGAACCATGGTACCCTGTGACTGGCAAAGCAATCAGAGCTGAAGTGCCATATAAACTTCATAGCCCAGCATCACCTACAGAAGGCATGAACACAGAACCAGACTTCTCCATGGGCACAAGAGCCATAACCTTCAGGTGTCATCTTTCATTGATGGCTCTCTGACATCCCACTTATTCTCATTAGTGGGTCATGAGGCAGAACAGCTTTTGATTTGGTAAGCAAAGCCAGGAATATCTGTTCTTCTCGCCACTCCAAATGTAACAGGCCAGAAAGAGGCTCACAGAAGCATGCTGAACCATGTGTTCTAAGAAAAAAAGAAGGGTCAGGGGAGGAGTCTTTGCCACCCTGAAATGCTCAACTTACTATTGAGTACTGCTTCCCTTCTGAAATCTAAAATCGTTCTGAAATTGGAAATCATTATTAGGTGGTGGACTTTGTAAATGCCAAAGAATCCTTGGAAATTATTAAAAATAACTCCTTAATTGCTCAATCTAGTTATCCCCCAGACTCATACTGTATCACCAAGAATAATGGATACACATAAGCAACGAATAATACCACTTGACAGTGGTAGAAGCAGGAGGCAGACAAATCACAGGCAGATGGGGCGGATCCCGGTGAAACCCGACCTTCAAGCTGAAGACAGTTTAAAGCCTAGCTACAAGTTCCAGGTAAATCCATGGACTGGCTTGAGAACCTCTCTTCCTGTTGGGTGTGCTTTCCTCTGATTGATCCCCACTCTTCATCTATTTCACATATACCTGCTCTTCCCTAATTGGTTTTTTGCACTGTTGTGCCCACCTTTGAGTGGTGGCTTTGTTTTAGCCTTTTTTGCATACTCACCAACCAATTAACACACACTTCCAATTCTGAGTCCATAAAGGCTCCAGAACCAGCCACACTGAGAGAATGACCCCCTGACTTCATCTGGGGTCCACCCTTGTGTCTCTTCTCTGCTGAGAAGCTGTTTTGTCACTCAATAAAACTCTTCTCCACCCTCCTCACCCTTCTATTGTCAGCATAAGCTTGTTCTTCTTGGATGCGGGACAAGAACTCAGGACCCACCAAACGCAGGTATGAAGAAGGCTGTAATACAGTGGCTCTTTGCCGTCTCCTAGGGGAGGGAAGTTATTCCATGCAACAGGAAGCACCAGCAGGTCCAGTCAGCCCTGGAGATGCAGGCCAAGTCAGCCTTGGAGATGCAGGCCAAGTCAGCCTTGGAGATGCAGGCCTGAGCGGGGCGATGGAACTGACAGAGTTGTTAACACACCGCCATCTGTTGGGCTGCAGGCATTATCAAATGCTAAGAGCTATTACCATGCTGTTACACCCCCTCTGGGCTTCGGGGTCGTGGGGACCCCTGTTTGGGCACCAACACATTCCCTTCAGTGTGACATGCCTGGTCCAGCCACAAGCCTTGCACGGAGCCCGCTCCTGTGCCAGTGCTTGGCGCGGCCAGCTGGAACCCCCACTTGCTCACTCACACACCCCCTCCCAGAGGCTGAGCATGTAGTCGCGGCAGCCATGGGCTCTGCATCAGAGCACAAGCCTGGCACGGCCTGGGTGGGCCAAGTAGATGAGGTGTCTCCTGCATTGATCCTGGGTAGAGCAAGGCCTGGACAGGGATGTTTCTGGCCAGAGGTCACCAGCTGGCAAAGTGGCTGAGAAAAATCTTGCATCAAAACAATTACACTGGCCATTCTTGACATGAAGATATGTAATTGGGTTAAAACATAGTTATTCATACACTATTACAGATTCCATTATTGACTGGTTTTAAGTTTCCTAAAACAACCTTTGCCTTATTATGAGGCAAACAATTTCCATCTCATTCATCTTTTTTTTCTAGCACACATTTTATAAAATTATGTTCTTTTGCCTCCAAATAAATACGTACCCATTCATTTCAAGTTCCAACTGTGTACCCAAGATCAGTGACTGTATTTAGGTTTGTATCTGATATTGAGTTGTATGTGCCATTTTTTCATTGTTTTCTGAAGGCGGTGCCACTTAGTCCCTACCCTTATTTCAAAACTACCCTTCCATAAATTAATCTCTCTGGGTACTTCTTATCTACTAGGTCAGCTCCTTAATTGGATTAACGCTTATTTCAAAACTACCCTTCCATAAATTAATCTCTCTGGGTACTTCTTATCTACTAGGTCAGCTCCTTAATTGGATTAACTCAGTGATTCTCCACACTGAGTCCTTGGTCTCAACACTGGGTCACACTCACCCTTCATCACAAACAAAGGATACCTTAGCCCCAAGCTGGAGATTAAGTGGAAACAGCACACGGCCATGAGGGAGTTGGCCCAGGAAGTCATCACAGGATTTCACGAGAAGAAAAAATAAAACAACAGGAGTAAGACTTCCATGTGAGGGGGAAAGAGAGGCACCTGTACATCTGGGGGCTTCAGGGGTCCAGTCTCCCTGGGGCATGCAGTGCAGAGACGCAGCCCCTCTGAGGTCATAGCTGGGCTCACAGCTGTAGAACACTTCCTGCCCAGGTAAAAAGTTGTCCTGATGGCTTAGGGTATGCTCACCATGCAGGATTTCTGGAGGCGGCTGACACATTGTAGAAAGGACAGTTCCAGAGTACTTGTTAGTTATGGGGGAATTTCTTTTGCTATATCCTATGCCTGCTGAAGGCCTCATAGTTAGTAAAAGGTAGAGAAATAGAACACAATTCTCCCTAGCACATGGCCCAAAATTCACCTGTAAATCTACAGGGCATGAAGTATTTTCTCCTAGCTCTGGATATCCAGTGTGGAGTTATTAGTATTGGTGGATTCTCCATCTACATATTTCCTAGGGAGGTATTTGTACCATCATTATTCAGGTAATGAGACTGTCACCTGAGACCAAGTCTGTTTTACAGATTTCCCCATATTTCTCTGATTGCACACCAATGACTAAAGTACAGTCATACTGTTTGGGGACAGGCATGCCCCTAAATTGGGGCTTACTCTGGAAGGGTTCTTGCCTCACTCAGGACAGAATTCACGGATGAGCCAGTGGTGCTAGACAGCGATCTTTTAGAAAGGCATTGCCCTTTGCAGAGCAGGGCTAACTCACAGGCAATGTGCCCAGAGTCAGCAACATATGAGCTCCTGGCAGGCAACTGTATTTATACTCCTGTAAGCCCGCTTCAATTACATGTAAATTATTTTTGTTTCTTGTTTTTTGTGTTTTTTTTTTTTTGAGGTGATATCTCACTCTGTCATCCAGGCTGGAGCACAGTCGTGTGATCTTAGCTCACTGCAACCTCCGCGTCCCAGGTTCAAGTGATTCTCCTGCCTCAGCCTCATGAGATTTCAGGTGCGAGCCACCTCACTCAGATAATTTTTGTATTTTTAGTAAAGACAGGGTTTCACCATGTTGGCCAGGCTGGTCTTGAACTCCTGACCTCAGGTGATCTGCCCATCTTGGCCTCCCAAAGTGCTGGGATTACAGGCATGGGCCACCATGCCCAGCCAATTACAGGTAAGTTAAGGGGCACATCAATGCAAATTGAGGGGCGTGTTATTTAGAACTTTCCTGGAAAGGGGTGGTAACTTCCAGATCGTTGCCATGGCATTTGTAAACTGTCACAGTGCTGATGGGAATATGAGGGCAGCTAGTGATTGCTTTCATCGCCATCTGCCTGTTGCTGCTGTTTTTTCACTTCATCCTGTCTAGGCCAGATTCTGTTTTGGTCAGCAGGATTGTGACCAGAACACAAGCCCTGCCCATCTCCTGCCTCGGTACATCCGTCTTTATATCCCTTTATCTGTTTGTCTTCCCAGCTCAGTGGTTGCACAAGGCTAACATGGGTTGGTAGAAGAATTGTAAGCTCTTTCTCTGTCCCTATGTATCTGCCATAACACCTCCCACTCCGCTGCTAAGCCAGCTATTGTGGCATCAGTAGACAAGATGAGCCATCAAAAACACAAGCCCTTAAATAAGACAGTGTTGTTTTAAATAATAAATGAGATAATGTATACAAAGTGCTTAGGGCACAGCTGACCATAAAGTCCATATAATTTTTCAATATAATTGAGAGAGATTGCAGCTGGTACTTTGCCCTGACAATTGATTAATAGGTGAGTCCAAAATACCAGTTTTCTTGGCTAATTAAGGTCTTGCTTTTCAAAATGAAGACACATATGCATGAGTGCTTGCACACCCCAGATTCTTAATTTCATGCTTCTTCCCCCAAAACTTACTTTCCCACCCTCCTCAACATACATCCCTCCCCCTAAACAAATACTCATCTCCTGATCCAACAGCAATGCATGTCACTTGCAGGGCCCTTCTAGGCCTCAGGCAAACACACCCCTGGAGCAGCTTGGTAGCTCCGGCTCCCATTTGTTCAGGGCCTGGCATTGCACACGGTGCGGGGGGTCCTTTCATGACAAAGCCAGGCTGACACCTAAACTCCACAACTTCATTTAAGGAAAATAAGCTTCTGTTGTCAGACACCAATATTCCATTTTCCACATTTGGAGGTGTGCATTTGTTAGGTATAATGCACTGAGGGACTGGGCCGCTCCAGACGACCACTTGATCATCTTTGCTGGTGCAGTATATGGAGGGCTCACCCACGAGCTCAAACACCTTTCTCCCTCTGCTTCCAAGATTGCAGTGGTAGGTCACCACTGATCCATAGTGAAAATACTCTCTGTCGGTGCTAATGAAATATCCATTGGTGATGTTGGGGGGTAGCCCACAAGGAATTCCTGGGAAAAGAGACCGCAAGTTCACCAAAACAAAACCTTGGGACAGAGTCTTGCTCTGTCGCCCAGGCTGGAGTGCAGTGGCACGATCATGGCTCACTGCAATCTCAACTTCCCAGGTCAAGCAATCCTCCCCCCTCAACCTCCCGAGTAGCTGGGATTACAGGCACGCACCACCGTATCTGGTTTATTTTTGTATTTCTGGTGGAGTTGGGGTTTGGTCATGTTGGCCATGCTGGTCTTGAACTCCTGGCCTCAAGCAATCCACCTGCCTCTGCCTTCCAAATGCTGAGATTACAGGCGTGAGCCATCGTGCCCGGCATGGTTTCTTAAAATTATACTTTATTGTAAATTATGCTAATAGCTTTTCTGAAATCCCAAATTACCGGAAGTAAATATTCACAATATCATTCTCATCTAATATTTACTAATGTACAGATATATTCTTACAATTTTATAATATTGTGAGTTGTGCTCTTCGTAGTTAACATTACTTTGCTAAATGTGTCCATATATTATTATAGAGCATTTTTTTCCTTTTTTTTTTTTTTTGAGACAGAGTCTCTGTTGCCCAGGCTGGAGTGCAGTATCATGATCTTGGCTCACTGCAACCTTCCTTTCCTGGCCTCAAATGATTCTCCTGCTGCAGCCTCCCAAGTAGCTGGGATTACAGACATGCACGACCATGCTCAGCTAACTTCTGTATTTCTAGTAGAGATGGGGTAGCACCATGTTGGCCAGGCTGGTCTTGAACTCCTGACCTCAAGTGATCCACCTACCTTGGGCCTCCCAATGTACTGGAATTACAGGTGTGAGCCACTGTGCCTGGCCTATAGTACACATTTATATTTCTCCTGCTAAATGAGAATTTAACTATGTTATCTCACCATTATTAATTTAGTTCTCTCTATATAGAAGGCATGTGTCTTTATTCTATTGGATATTAATATAATAAAGCATACAGCATAGCATTTTTTTTGAGACAAGGTCTTGCTCTGCTGCCCAGGCTGGAGTGCAGTGGCACGATCATGGCTCATTGCAGCCTTGACCTCTCTGGCTCAAGCAATCCTCCCACCTCTCAGTCTCCCGAATAGTTGGGACTACAGGCGTGTGCCAGTATGCCCATTTAATTTTTGTATTTTTTGTAGAGACAGGGTTTCACCATGTTGTACAGGCTGGTCTCGACCTCCTGGGCTCAAGCGATCTGCTCACCTAGGACTCCCAAAGTGCTGGGATTACAGGTGTGAGCCACCACACCTGGCCCAGTATAACATCTTTATTAAATAATAAGAACAAAAGCTCTGGCAGAACTAATAAAGACAAAGCAAACACAAATATACAATATTACATATAATAAACATGATACTTACAGATTCAGAAGTAATACAAATAACTGGATACTGATCTACAGCCATACCACCCTGAATGCACCCAATTTCATCTGATCTTGGAAGAACTGAATACTGTGTCCTACTCTACTGTAGGGCAGTGCCCAGCCAGTATATTGCCCTTCTACAAAGTTTGTTCCCACTTATTCTCCCACCAGATGGGTTTGAAATTGCTGATTTCCTCACACCATCACTAAACCCAGGATTATACACATTTTATATTCCTTATTAGCTTGCAATTGCTCATTCCTCTTTGCTCCCCAAAATGTAGAAAGCTCATCTTCCAAACAACTCACAGGGAAGATGGCATGATCCTGTTTAGACAAAGAATAAGAAGGAAGAAAGAGCTGCATGGCTTGAATATCTGATGTGATACTAACAGCTTGCAGAGAGGATATGCGGTTTCTTTCACTGACTTTGTATTTGTTGACTTCACCAAAGAAAATGCTCTTCAAACTGGGAGGTGTTCACCCAACAGAGGATGAAATTGGGGGCTATTTAAATTAGCTCAAGACTAGTTTAAAATAAATTACACCTTAAGATAAGAAAAAAAGCATTTCTAGGTGAAGGTGGAAGTTTGGAATGCTGTGAGCCATTTTAAGGATATGACTGGATTCTTCAAATATCAGAAGGATACCATTTCCAAGAGGGATGAGATTCATTCTTTGTAATTCTAGGAGGACAACTCTAGGGTTAAATGGTGGGGTGAATGGGGAAAGAGATTTCAACTCACGTTGACAAATTGGTGGCTTCATGCTCCAATGGGCAGTATTGCCCGAGAGGATACATTCAGCAGATGAGTGACCAATGAGTCGGTGCCTAAAGGCAAAAAATGGAAAATAATTGTGCTGTACATACCTCATCAACTTCCTGACAGCATGCATATGTGGCAAACCAGAGGGATTACAATATAGGAGAAGTCTAAGGCCTAGCCTAAACTTTACCTATTGTTCCCAGCTTTTCTACTTCTTTTTCTGCTCTCACTATTGAAAAGAGATATTTCTGCTCTAACTTCTCCTGGTCCACTTTACTTCTTAATATCTTGACTTCATTGTGGACTGTACCTGGCACCAAAATAAAACAATCATTTTGTAGACCTGCTTGACAATTTCTTTCTTAAGTTCTGTCTTTTCCCATATTATTTCTGCCATTTTTTGTTTGCGTATTCCCTTAATATGTGTGTGTGTGTGTGTGTGTGTGTGTGTGTGTGTAATACTATGCCATTTAACTTGAGGCATGTTTTTTATAAATACAAGATTTGTTGCTTTTGATCCTGTCTAGTAGACTTGGTTTTTTGACAAGAAGTTTAAACCAAATGGATTGAAATAAATTATATATTTGATTTGCTTTGTTTGTTTGTTTGTTTTTTTAGACGGAGTCTGGCTCTGTCGCTCAGGCTGGAGTGCAATGGTGCAATATCTGCTCACTGCAACCTCTGCCTCCCGAGTTCAAGCAATTCTCCTGACTCATCCTCCTGAGTGGCTGGGATTACAGGCATGCACCAACATGCCCAGCTAATTTTTGTATTTTTAGTAGAGATGGTGTTTCACCACTTTGGCCAGACTGGTCTTGAACTCCTGATCTGAGGTGACCCTCCCACCTCGGCCTCCCAAAGTGCTGGGACTACAGGCGTGAGCCACTGTGCTCGGCCTTGTCATAATTCTTTCACTACCTTTTTCATGATTTCACGATGTCCCATGATGAGGATGAGGAGAAAGCAATGAATAAAATGACCTGACCCAAACATGATGGGGCTTATTTCCGATGACAGAGACAAATGCATTCCTTGCTATTCTTTTTCCTTCCCTCCCCTTACTATATGGAACAGATAGATTCAGCTGTTTTAGTTATTCTAATAATTTGGAAATTAAACTTAATATTTTTTCCAATTAGGAATTTAATTTTATATGTGTGCATGTATATTGTAGATATATACACTTGATACATATATTTAAACCTATTTTCTCAATTTCAGAGTCAAATTCTGTACAGTCAGTCTACTCATCTTTTCTGTAAGTCTAGCCTACCTTTTCCTGCTTTCTCACATTTTCTACTTCTATTGATATATTCTATGACTTCACAGAGATTATTACTAAATTATGATTACATTGCCAGTTTTTGTGTTTATGGTTTTTTGTTGTTGTTGTTTGTTTTTACCACTTTTCTATCTCATTGAGATTTCTTTAGGAATTCATCATTCTCCTTTTTAAAAATTTGCTTATTAATTGCCTGGGAAACATACTTAAATGGTACAATTTTTGTGTCTTTGCTTATTCTTTAATGTGTATCTGGAGCCTCTAGATGTGAATATTAGCTTGGCTCAACAGAAGTGCTATCTTCTACAATTTAGTGTTGTGTAGAATCAATGTGGTGTCAATAAATTTATTTCTTTTGCGGGTATTACATTTTCACATTTTATTTCTGGAATCTGAGTTTTTTTCTCTATCCCTGAAACACAGAAATTTCCCTAGTGATGGCTAGGTATGGGCTTATTTGCTTACCCTTCTGGAATTTTTTTAATACATAATTTGAATCCTGACACTGTCTTACATACGTCTTCTCTTTTTCTTTTTTTTTAGACAAGGTGTCATTCTGTCATCCAGGCTGGAGTGCAGGGGTGCCATCACGGCTCACTGAAGCCTCAGCCTCTCGGGCTGAGGTGATCCTTTCACCTCAGTCTCCTGTGTAGCTGTGACTACAGGCACACGCCACCACGCCCAGCTAATTTTTATACTTTTTTGTAGAGATGGGGTTTTGCCTTATTGCCCAGGCTGGTCTCGAGGTCCTGGGGTCAAGTGATTCTCTTGCTTCGGCCTCTCAGTGTTGGGATTACAGGTGTGAGCCACTGTGCCCACCTATCTTCTCCTTTTCATCTTTTCCCACTGCATTGAGGGAAAATTTGGTTAACTCTTCTTACTCTTTGCTTTAATTTTCTGCAATATTCAGTGTTTTATATATATATATATATATATATATATATATACATACACACACACATATATATGACACATATATGAAATGAAATATATAAACACACTGACTACATATATTCATTCGTGTGCAAACTTCATGGCTAGTTTCACAGAATTATTTGTACAACTGAGTCTTGTTAAAAATAGGAAAAGGAGAGTGTTCTGAAAGTTTTCCTGGTTTCCTGGCAGTAAATCTCTTTTGTAAAATTTCTCCTGATTTTTTAAAATTGGTCTCTTTTACATGTATTTCCTGTTTTTTGTCATAAGCTCAATGGTTTTCTGCCTCATGCCGCAGGGAGGTTCGCACTTATTCCACAATGCAAGATGAGGAAGGAACAGTTAGGAAATTTATCAATTGTATTTTTAAAAATGCTCAAAAAAGAAAAGAGGACTTTGGATTTATTCCAATTTTATTTTGTCAGATTCTAGGTGCTATGGTCTCTGAAGCCTAGGCTGGCAAATATGCTGGACACCACAAGCTTCCTTTCTGTGTTTGTTGCGGTGGCACAAACATAGCCCCTACTCACTACCTGGCTTAGCTGTTCCCGTGAAGAGTGAGATTGAGGCAGAGCCTCCACTGTGTGCTGAGCAAGGGTGAGCACCAACAGCTGGACCATGCGCTGTGAGCACCTGACACTTGACATTTTCAAAGGGACTCTGTTATAGGTTGAATTGTGTCTCCCCCAAATATGTTGGGAAGTCTTAACCCCCAGTCCCTGTGGATGTGACCTTATTTGGAAATACAATCTTTGCAGATGCAATCCAGTTAAGCTGAGGTCATTAAGGTAGGCCCTAATCCAATATGCCCGGTGTCCTTATAAAAAGAGAAAACTTTGGACACAGACATGAACAGAGAGGAGAACAGCATATGAGGACACAGACCCAGAGGGAAGATGGCCATCTGAGGACAGCAACAGAAGAAATTGGAGTTCTGCTGCCACACTCCAAGGAAGGCCTGGGGCTCCAGAAGCTGGAAGACGCAATGAAGGATCCTACCCTACAGGATTCAGAGGGAGCATGGTCTTCCCAACACCTTGATTTTGGACTTCCAGTCTATAGAACAGAACTCCAAAAACTTCTGTTGTATTAAGCCACCCATTTTGTGTTACAGACATTCCTCAAAGATATTGCAGGTTCAGTTCCAGAACACCACAATAAAACAAATATCACAACAAACCAAGTCATATGAATTTTTTGATTTTTCAGTGAGTCTAAAAGTTGTGTTTGTAATATACTATAGTCTATTAAGTGTGAAATAGAATTATGTGAAAAAAAGGTCATACTTTAAAAAATGGTTTATTGGTAAAAAATGCTAAAGATTATCTGACCTTCAATAAGTCACAATCTTTTTGCTGGTGGAGGGTCTTGCCTCAAGGTTGATGGCTGCTGACTGATCAGGGTGGTGGTTGCTGAAAGCTGGGGTGGCTGTGGCTATTTCTTAATCTAAGACAACAATAAAACTGGCCACATTGACTCTTCCTTTCACAAAAGATTTTGCTGTAGCATGCAATGCTGTTTGATAACATTTTACCCTCTGAACTGCTTTCAAAATTGGAGTCAATCCTCCCAGATACTGCTGCTGCTTTATCAACTTAGTTTATGTAATATTCTAAATTTGTGGTCATTTTAACAATGCTCATGGCATCTTCACCAGGAAGAGACTCCACCTCAAAAATCTACTTTCTCTGCTCATCCATAAGAAGTAACTCCTCTTCTGTTCAAGTTTGATCATGATATTGTAGCAATACAGTCACACCTTTAGGCTCTGCTTCTAATTGTAGTGTTCTTGCTACTTCTGTCACATCTGCAATTATTTCCTCCGCTGAAGTCTTGAACCTCTCAAAGTCATCCATGAGGGTCGGAATCAACTTCTACCAAACTCCTGTTAATGTTGATATTTTAACCTCTTCCCATGAATCATGAGTGTTCTTAACAGTATGTAGAATGATTAATTCTTTCCTGCAGTTTTCAACTTACTTTGTTCAGATCCATCAGAGGAATTACTGTCTGTGGGAACTATAGCCTTACAAAATGTATTTTTTTTTCCTTTTCTTTTCTTTTTCTTTTTTTTGAGTTGAAGTCTCCCTCTATTGCCCAACCTGGAGTGCGGTGACGCAATCTCGGCTCACTGGAACTTTCACCTCCTGGGTTCAGGTGATTCTCCTGCCTCAGCCTCCTGAGTAGTTGGGACTACAGGCACATTCTGCCATGCTGGCCAATTTTTGTATTTTTAATAGAGACGGGGTTTCACTATGTTGGCCAGGCTGGTCTTGAAATCCTGACCTCATGATCCGCCCACCTTGGTCTCCCAATATGCTGGGATTACACCATGCCTGGCACAAAATATATTTCTTAAATACTAAAACTTCAAAGTCAAAATTACTGCTCAGCCATGGGCTGCAGAATGGCTGCTGTTGTCAGCAGGCAGGAAAACTACATGCATCTCCTTGTCCATCTCCATCAGAGCTCTTGCCTGATTGGATACAAAGTCAATGAGCTGTATGTAACATTTTGAAAGGAATCTGTTTTTCTGAGCACTATATCTCAACAGTGAGCCTAAAATATTCAGTAAACCATGCTGCAAACATACCTCTGTCATCAGACTTTGTTGTTCCATTTATAGACACAGGCAAGGTACATTTAGCATAATTCTTAAGGGCCCTAGGGCTTTTAGAATGGTCAGTGAGCATTGGCTTCAACTCAAACTCACCAACGAGATTAGCTCCTAAAAAGGCAGCCTATCCTTTGAAGCTTTGAACCCAGGCATTGGCTTCTCCTCTCTAGCTATGAAGGTCCAATAGATGGCTGTTTTGTCTACATGGAGAATCTGCTATTTATTTTAACACCTTCATCAATGATCTTAGTTAGATCATCAGGACAACTTGCTGCAGCTTCTATGTCAGCACTTGTTGCTTCACCTTGCACCTTTATGTTATGGAGATGACTTCTTTCCTTAAACCTCAGGAATCACCCAACCTGGAGTGCAGTGGCACAATCTCGGCAACTTCTGCTTCCCGGGTTCAAGTTATTCTCATGCCTCAGACTCCCGAGTAGCTGGAACTACAGGCAACCCGCCACAACGCCTGGTTAATTTTTGCATTTTCAGTAGATATGAGGTTTCACCATATTGGTCAGGCTGGTCTTGAACACCTGACCTCAGGTGATCCACCTGCCTCTGCCTCCCAAAGTGCTGGAATTACAGGCATGAGCCACAGTGCCCAGCTGCTTCCAGCTTTTTTTCTGCAGCTTCCTCACCTCTGTCAGCCTTCACAGAATTGAAGAGAGTTAGGGCCTTGCTCAGGATTAGGCTTTAGCTTAAGGAAATATGTCTAGTTTGATCTTGTATCTAGACCACTAAAACTTCTTCCATATCAGCAATAAGGCTGTTTCACCTTCTTATCATTCATGTGTTCACTGGAATAGCACTTTAAGTTTCCTTCAAGTACTTTTGCTTTGCCTTTGCAACTCGCTAGCTGTTTGGCACATGAGGCCTGACTTTTGGCCTGTCTTGGCTTTCAACATATCTTCCTCACTAAGCTTAATCATCTCCAGCTTTTGATTTAAAGTAAGAGATGCATGACTCCTCCCTTCATGTCAACACTTAAAGGCCATTGTAGGGCTATTAATTGGCCTCATTTTAGTATTATTGTGTTCAGGGATTAGGGAGTCCTGAAGAGAGGGAGAGAGAAGGGGAATGTCTTGTCCATGGAGCAGTCAAAGCATGCACATTTATTAAGTTTTCTGTCTTATATGGGTGCAGTTCGTAGGGACTCCAAACAATGAAAATAGTAACATCAAAGATCACTGAAGACAGATCACTATCACAGACATGATAATAATGAAAACCTCTGGGATATTGTGAGAATAACCAAAATGCTACACAGAGACACGAAGTCAACACACACTGTTGGATAAATGATGCCAACTGACATGCTTGTTGCAGCGTTGCCACAAGCCTTCAATTTGTAAAAAGCATAACATCTGTGAAGTACAATAAAATGAGGAAGGCCTGTACTTTTTGATGGCAGCCCTAGCAAGCGATCATGCTGTTATCATTAAGATTTGTTCTCTCACACAGCTGCTACATGCCCTTCCCTTTCTTCCAGCAATGTCTACTCTGGGTTAGGGTTGTTTGTGTGCTTTGACTACTATACTCCTAATTTTTTTTCCTTCCCATCCAGTGAACGGCATACTCTTTATGTGTGCACTGCCCTGGTTTCCAGCAAGGACACAGATTTTTCCCCTAATCTTCTCCTATCTTTGTTCATTTCAATCAGGAGTTAATACCTGTGTTCAAACCTCTCAAGAGCAGGTGGCAACAGCCTAGTTTCCTTCCTGAGATGTGGCTAGAAGGTAGTATTGCTGTGCTGGAACTCTGGAACCAAGAGATGTTGCTGCCAACTCACCCTGTAGTACAAGAATAGTTGATTCTGGATCCAACATGGATGTCTGTGATCACATGCACCATGCCATTCACTGGAACTGGAGGAGTTTCACATGATTTACCTGTGGGAAAGAAAATGTTTTGGAGCCAGGTAGAGTAATCTGAACTCTCTTCAGTACGTAAGGTCTCAACCTGCATGTAGCTTCCTGAAGAAAACACGCAGTTCTGATAGTTCCACAGATTTTGGCACCTTGAGAAAACTCATCAGAGAGCCTCAGGATCAGCCACCTACTAAGCCCCACTTTCAAAAAGACCTTCCCTCCAGATCTATCTAGATCTAGATTTAGATCTGTGTAGAGACCTTGCATCCCTTATCAAAATGTAAAGGTCATTTATGGCATTATTTACTACCAATAAAGTTTTCAAAGGATTTCTTCCCACCTAGTTATTCAAACAGAATTTGTCTTCCTACACAATCTTTATTTCCTGATATAGAGTCATTTATTATTTATTTTCCCATAAGGAATGAAGATTTTCTCTACAAATATTCCTTGAAACATTCTCATGAAGTGAGCATTTCAAGCAATAATCAAAGACGACCTGCAAGAAAAACTCTTACATCCACCTATCTGAACGCTTTTGAAAAAAGGTTTCTCTTATCCCACAATTGAAAAAATTCAATAAGAAGCTTTTGCAGACATGGGAAAGATCCAGTGCAAGTTTACTTACTTTACAACTTTAATGAAGTAGCAAAACATTTGAAGAAGAAAAATAACCGTTTTGAAGGGTTACTCATTCATTTAGTCAATCTTTCTTAATTTAGCACTTATCCTGTGTCAGCCACTCATCAGGATCCTGGGGACACAGTGCTGAGGAAGGGGCCTACGTTCTTGGGAAATATTTCTCAAATGTATATATGTGTGCTAATCATCTTAAATAGGTGAAAACTTTCACTGATTACTTACTGATATTGATCATCAGTCTCAGTGATAACAATAGCCCTGCCACAGTGAATTGAAACATATTCAGGCCATTATAAAAAACTCCAAATGGATTCAGATTGCTTTGCTTTTGAAAATGTCAAGGTCTGTTGATGATTTATTTTCTTTTTTTACTTTCTGGGTCAGGTTTCAAGTTGTTACTCCTTTCTAGCATCTACTGATTTGTTTATAATAGTCTCTTCCTCATTTCTAATTGGCATTTTTCATTAGAACTGGCATTTGGAAGAAGTTATTTTAACTACCAGAGTTATGAAAAATAAGAGAAAGCTTGAGTAGTCCAATCAATGAGCTTTCATGCATGATAGTAGAACAGACATTTGTCATGCTGCCTCAAGGAGCACTGGATTTCTTAGACAGCAAGCATCTCTATATAAGTTATGTTCTTCCAAAATTTTACTCTAAAAAGCACTGTAAGATGTCCAAGTACATTTCTAAGAACATAAACATTTTAGTAAAATTTCATGGTTTTCTAAAGAAACATGTTTTCCAATCATTAGAATCAAGAAATGAAGCAAAGTTCTATCTTCTATTGGGGAAATTATAAATGGGTAGACTAGGAGAAATCAGTAGTCTACTGATTATTGAACATATGAGGCTCATTTTAAAAAAATGACTTATTATTTATGAATCTCTCAGCATAAATTATTTAGGTACATATTTTGAGAATTTATGGAGTCTCAAACTGCTCACCCTGTCTAATGTTACTCCCCACTTTTCCCTCATTCTTCATTGCTTTGATCTATTATCCGTAGCATTTAATTTGCTTATTTTTTTCCTTGTCCTTCTCCCTACCTGAGTAAAAACAACATGGGGACAGGGACTTCACTCATCTTGTTCATTGCTATAACTCCAGTATCTAGATGAACAGAGGCACAAAGTATGTGATCAATAAATAATTGATTAAATAAAGGCATGTTTGATACTTGAGTATTATCAAATATATACACAAATTGTAGACTGACTGCACATTGATTGGAGAACAAAATGAAAAAGAAGGAAGGAGAGAGGGAGAGAAGAAGGGAAAAAAGAACTGAAGGAAGGAAAGAAGAGAAGAAAGAAAAGAAGTAGAGAAAGAAAGCAAATTGTAAAAGCTTCACATTATCTAATCTCTCCTGACCTAGAAGCACACGACCATAGGATTTATCGCAATAGAACATAGAATACAAAATGACAGAGACAGATCAGATAGTTCCAAAGACAGGTGATGTACACATTGATTCACAACCAAACATTACTAAAATAAGAAATTTTCAAATCAATAATTCAGATTAGAAAATTGAAGAACCACATTAGGGGAGGTCATGGGTCAAATACTGAACAGATGAAGGGGAGAGATTGGCCTGAAATGTTACTCCTATTACTTACGTTCACACACTGGAACACTGCTATTCCAAAGGCTTTCCATTCCAGCCAAAACACAGTAACTAGCAGAGCTGCCTTTTAATTGAAATCTAAAGAAGAAAATAGGAGTGAATAGCGAGCTGTTTCAGCCAAGAGGACACTTAGTTCACAATCTAAGGCCCAGCCCCAATTTCAGGATTTTGAGGACCTGAGGCCAGCAGGTGGCAGAGTTGCACAGGCTACGTTATTCTGGAAAAATCACAGCCTCCAGAAGGGAGCAATATAGAGTGGCAAAATGCAGTAGCTTGGTCACATGATAGTCCTGCTTGAATTGAAAAAGGTGGTCACAAAATAGCCACCATCTCCTTGACCCAGGACCCAGGCTTGGAGTTTCACTGATTACTCATTGTCATTATTAGAAACCCAGTCTTCTAATGCAATGCCTTCGTAACTCTGACCCTGGAACAGCAAGTAAAACAGCTCCCAGTTTGGAGTGGTAAAGTGGGAAATAGCTGGCGAGAGAACAGAGATTGTCCTTTCATCTCCACATCTGTGATGGCGTGAAGAAGGCTCAAAAGGGCAATTTGGGCTGCTGAAGAGTAAGCACGAATATTCTAGGGGAAAAAGGAAAGAAGAGAGGACATAATTTTTGTACGCAATTGTTGAAAATTCTCAATGTCTGTTGGGCCCCGATGCCCTCCTAACTCTTACTGGGTGCTGGCTTTTGGAGCCTGCCAAGATTCTGTGTTACATTTTGGGATCAGGTGCTTTGTTGCCCATGCTGGTCAGCTCCCGTGTAGAGATGTGCACCCTGTGAAGAGCACTAGGTGGACATAAACAAGGTAATGACCTTGCTGGAAATATTAACAGCAGCCATCAGAACCCCAGCTCAGAGCCCAGAGCCCATGACTAGCCAGACGATATATGACTGGATTTTTTTAAAATGCTGATTTTTACACTTTCAGTCCTATTACAAATTTCATTACTGATGGTTTAAAGAATTTACTGAAATGATTCTTAAATGATCCTAGCTCTTTAGAATAAGTTTTTTGTTACTTGCAATTTTTTCTGAGACTCTTAAATTACTCATATTCTATTTGCTGTTTTGAAATTCTAAAATTTTGAAAATAGGATTTTTTAAACTTACTGTGTTACCTATATATTAATAACAAGTAATTATACTTGTCTTTGAATTTGCCAGTTAATATATGGCCCAGTGTCCTCTTCATATCTCATGTTATTAGTTCCATATGTGTCTTTCCTTTCTTCCTATATATACTTTCAAAAGTTCATCTCTCTGATTGTGTGTGTGTGTGTGTGTGTCTGTCTGTCTGTCTTTTTTTAAGCCACATCAAATCTCCCCTTTTTGGACTAATTCCTAACCCCAATTTCAATGTCCAGCAGGTCAGGCAAGCTCATACTCACCCTTCATCACAAACAAAATCCACTTTTGCTCCAAGCTGGAGATTAAGTGGAAATAGCACATGGCCATTAGGAAGTTGGCCCAGGAAGTCATCACAGGATTTCACTGGAAAAAAAGAAAAACGAACAGAAATAACTGGCATGTGGAGAATAAAGACGCAAGCTAAAAATACCAAGCCAGATAAGAGTCTAGTCACCTTCACATCTGGGGGCTGCAGGGCTCCAGTCTCCCTGGGGTGTGCAGTGCAAATACGTAGATCCTCTGAGGTCGTAGCCGGGCTCACAGCTGTAGAACACTTCCTGCCCGGGTGAAAAGTTGTCCTTGTCCCTTTGGGTACGCTCAGCATGCAGGACATCTGGAGGTGGCTGACATACTGGGGAGAGAGAAACAAAGTACTGCTAATTGTGTGAAAATAACTTTTCTCTCACTGTTAAACTGGCCAAGGGAATAATAATTACAAATCTATATGTAACAAAAAAGGTAGAATAACAGCCTTATTACATTGATAACAAACTAAATACACAGGGCGAGGAAGATGTCTTGCCATCACTCATAGAACTGACACATTGCACAACTGTGACTAAAACAGAGGTATCCCCAATTCATTGTTTTACATCTAAAGTATGCAACTAAGATTTCACAATGGACAGTTCCTTCTAGAATGCTTCCAATTACTGTTCACCCAGTACAAAATTGGGAGGGATGATGGATTTTTATATCTCCATGCTTCCTTTCTAGAAAGGCATCACCAATTTCGTCTTGCATTTTAGGCCATAAAGGAGTGCCCCTGCCCATGTCTCATCTAATAGGTCCCTCCATCACCTATCACACTGGTGCAACAAACATACATCTATTCTCTTCTCCTTTCAAGTCTTCTCTCAGCGGCCACCTGACATAGGGTGGTAAAGAACTATGGGTCTCCTCCCTTCATGCTATGCAGCAAGGTGCTGCCTAGTCATTCATTTCACTCCAGTGAGAAGGTGGGCAACTGTCGAACAAAATCTAAAAGACCTACTGTCACCATAATGAGAGTGTCTATTTCACACAACATATTGTAAGGGCAGCGCTGGCTCTCTCTTAATATAGTTGATCGGAACTCAGGAAGTCAGAACACATTTAGGTCTCAACTAAATTATATAAAACTGTTATAAAATGGAAAAAATAATTTCAGTTTGTCTTTGAGCAGATCAGTTCCCTTTTCTGGACTTCAGCTTTCTCAAGCATCAAATGGGGGATTGGACTAGAAAAATGACTTCTTTAGGGAGTTTGTAAATACTCTGATGCTGTAATGTCCATTTTCAGGGCTCATCACCCAGTGTTTCCCTTGACTAATCAATGCCTGGTGATGTAATATTGAGGTGCTGTGCTGGTTAAATTTCTGTTGGCCCCTAGCCTCACACTTCTGCACTGTCTTTTGGCTGCTAGCAATGGAAACCTTAAAACTATAATCATTTGTCTTCCTTGATAGCTGGGCTCTGGTTAGGTTCTTCCAGTTGGAGGCATATATACCAAATTAAAAAGCAGGATGATGGCAGAGTCTGTTCTACTTCTAGAGGTGGCTCAGGCAGTGGCAGTATAGATGACTTCAGTGAGCAGCTACAGCTTCAATTCTAGCGATGCCAATGACTTTGGCTCCAGCAATATCAGCTGCATTCTGGCAGCTGTGGTGGCTCCTGCAGCATTAGCAGCTTTCAGGGAGCTGCCTGCTCAGTGGGAGGGGCTGGCCACTTGAGCATCCCTCCAGGCTCCTGTGCTGTGTAGACTGGGAGCCACAGCAGCTCCCTGATCTCTGGTAACTCTGCCTTCGTCCTATTGCTAGGGAGGCTGCCTGATTTTCCTGCCCTTCTAACATCTTTGTGACCTATTAGCTGTGATATGGTTTGTCTCTGTGTCCCCACCCAAATCTCATGTCAAATTGTAATTCCCAGTGTTGGAGGAGGAGCCTAGTGGGAAGTGACTGGATCATGGGGGTGGTTTCTAATGGTTTATCACCATCACCCTAGTGCTGTATTGTGATATAGTTCTCTTGAGATCTGCTTGTTTAAAATGTGTAGCACCTCCCTAGTTGCTGTCTCCTGCCAGCCATATGAAAATATACATGCTTCCTCTTTGCCTTCCACCATGATTGTAAGTTTCCTGAGGAGTCTTCAGTCATTCCTCCTGTATAGCCTGCAGAACTGAGAGTTAATTAAACCTCTTTTCTTTATAAATTACCCAGTCTCAGGTAGTTCTTTATACAATGTGAGAAGAGTCTAATACAGCCTGCATGAAATCCCTCCCTCCTTGAAAGTATCTAGAGTAAGTTTTGATTTCCTGACTGGATGCTGACTAGCAAAGCCAAGTCTCTGGAGTCGGGTGGACTTGCGTTTCAGTCTTCAGTCTGCAAGTTAATATCTTAGAAAGTTATCCGATTTCTCTAAGGCACATTTTCTCTGCAAAACATAGAGGCCAGGCACAGTGGCTCATGCCTATAATCTCAGCACTTTGGGAGGCCCAGGTGGGTGGATTGCTTCAGCTCAGGTGTTCGAGACAAGCCTGGGAAACATGGTGAGATTCGATCTCTATAAAAAAAATATAAAAAATTTAACCAGGTGTGGTAGCATGCACCTGTAGTCCCAGCTGCTTGGGAGGCTCAGGCAGGAGAATTGCTTGAGCCAGGGAGGTGGCGGTTGCAGTAAGCCATGATCTCACCTCTGCAGTCCAACTTGAGTGACAGATCAAGACCCTGTCTCAAGCAAAACAAAACAGACAAACCTAGAAAAACTGGTAACTACCTAATAACTTTGTTTTAAGGATTAAAATTCACATGTAGCCTGTATTATGGTGCCTGGCTGGAAGAATCACTCATTTTCTATCAGCAGTTATTATACTCAAAGGTAATTAATAGATTTGCTTATAAGAACTCCAAAGAAACATCACGTTCCTTGTCCAGGTTTAGCTTTGCTTCTTCATTTCAGCACATCTGCATGTACACACACCTTCTGAATTTCATGTTCACTACCTAGAAAATTTGCTTCTCGACCCTGCTCAGCACAAATCCCTCCCCCTGAACAAATACTAATCTCCTGATCCAACAGCAATGCATGTCACTGGCAGGGCCCTTCTAGGCCTCAGTCAGACTCACCCCTGGAGCAGCTTGGTAACTCTGGCTCCCATTTGTTCAGGGCCTGGCACTTCACATGGGAGGGCCCTTTCATGCCAAAGCCAGGCTGACACCTAAACTCCACAACTTCATTTAAGGAAAATAAGCTTCTGTTGTCAGATACCAATATTCCATTTTCCACATTTGGAGGCGTGCATTTGTTAGGTATAATGCACTGAGGGGCTGGGCCACTCCAGATGCCCACTTGATCATCTTTGCTGGTGCAGTATATGGAGGGCTCACCCACAAGCTCAAACACCTTTTTCCCTCTGCTTCCAAGATTGCAGTGGTAGGTCACCACTGATCCATAGTGAAAATACTCTCTGCTGATGCTAGTGAAATCTCCATTGGCGATGGTGGGGGGTAGCCCACAAATAATTCCTGGGAAAGGAAGAGCACAGTCAATTTAAATAATGAATGACAAAAATCTCACGAGTCACTAAACTGTAACTATTTTTACATTCATTATTTGCTTTTATTCTTTGCTAACACGTAGGTACATTTTTACAAAGTTGTAATTTTGGTGGGGATAATATGATGTGTCCTGCCTTTCTTACTTATATGATTTCCTATAATATTTGCATGCATTTATTAACTCCATCCACATTCTTTTCATTTTAAATAGCCCTTTGATTATAGTATTATAGAGTTTATACAGTGTTCTCCTACTCTTTTCATTTGCTTTCTTAATTTGCATTTTTGTTAATAACTGAGGTTAGCCTTTTTAGAAAAATAAAATATAAAAACCTTTGCCAAAAGATAAAGTATAAGGGAAGAGAGAAGACACAAATATACACAGTAGGAAAAGGAATTTAAACATTTTTATGAATATGAGAATATTTATAAAACTGTAGACTACTGGGGGTTAAATATTTTGAAAATCTAAATGATATAAATGGAAACATAAATTGCCAATATTCATTCAAAAAGATTTAGAAAGCTAGAATTACCCAACAAACATGTAAGAATAAAAAAAAAAAGATAAGCTCTATTGAACTTTCAAGTAACAGATGCTTCCAAATGTAATTTCAATATTTCACAACACACAAGAGGTATAAAACTTATCAACTCATTTACTCAAATCTAAGTTTGATATAATAACATGATATCTGTGTAAAAGTGGTCATATATTAGTCCACAAAAACTCCTTAAATGCATGTTAAACATACAGACCAAGATATAGAAGAATAAAGCCTAGCATGTTTAAGTGAAGTCCTGCCATGAGAGGAGATAATAGACATAAACAACATTTGAAGAAGTAATAACTGAGAAATTTCCAAGACTGATGCAAGATTACAGATTCAAAAAGCTATACAGGCCTGGCGTGGTGGCTCATGCCTGTAATCTTAGCACTTTGGGTGGCCCAGGTGGGCAGATCACCTGAGGTCAGGGGTTTGAGACCAGCCTGGCCAACATGTTGAAACCCTGTCTCTACTAAAAATACAAAAATTAGCCAGGAATAGTGGCACAGGCCTGTAATCCCAGCTACCGAGGTGGCTGAGGTGGGAAGATTCCTTGAATCTGGGAGGTGGAGATTGCAGTCAGCCGAGATCGCGCCACTGCACTCCAGTTGTGCAACAAGATAAACCCAAGCAATACAAAGAAATACTTACCTAGACACAACATAGTAATATTGTAAAAAATCTATTTTAAAGTGTAATCCATAAAAGCAGCAGGAAACATAGACAATAACCTTCAAAGGAACCACAATTAGAAAAATGTTTAAAGAATTTGTTGTCAGAAGATCTACAATACAAAAATGCCAAAGAGACTTTTTCAGGCTGAAGGAAAATAGTTTCATATAGGATTGATAGAATTGCAATAAGAAGGAAACACACCAGAAAGAGCTCATATGCGGGTATGTTTTCATTTAGGATCTTTATGATAGAGAAAACCTCTTCAGTCATTACAAGAAACACAAGATGGAAGTAAAGATTTTATTACGGGCTGGGGGTATGGCACGCCTGAAGATCACAAAGAGGTTGGTCAGTGCGAGGAACGTAGAGAGAGAGAGAGAAGGGGATCCATCGGCCAATGCCTTTATTGGGGACCAGAGTATGACCCAGCATCTTGCATCTACAAGCCAAGGTATCTCCCATGGGGAGTTCTAATTGGTGAGTTTAAAGAAAGCAGGCACATGTTCCAGGCAGTCATGCTGCGACTGAGAGGTGGTCACGGCAGCATAACTGCGAAGTCCATGCAGGGCACAGAGGGCAGGGACGCTAGTCAAGTAGGTTTTATCTAGCTGTCCCATGGAGAGGTGGTCACCAGGAGGCAGTTGTATAAAGCAGATATCTGGCTCGACCACGTTGCAAAATTGGGAGGAGGTACAGAACTAGAAAGGGCATTAAGGGTGACTAAGCCCTGCTTCTGGCATGAGAAAGCTAAACATATTCTAAATGGATGCTGAGGCAACATAAAAATTCTAAGAATTCACTACGGTGTAAATATAAATAGATATTATTTTTATAAAGACAACAACAACAATTACGTCTTTGAAATATATAACATATGTAAATTGTTAAATCAAGTTTAGCCTAAAGCCTTACATAGTTTAAGCTCAGCCTAAAGGTTTCTCTGTAAACTGCGAATTATAACGAGTGAAGATGTAAACAGACCGTAGGTTACTCTTATGCCAATCACCGAGTTTTGGCCAATCAAATGTGGCTAACTGTTTGAACTGTCTTCAAATAAGCCAAACGCTGAGCTATAACCAATCGGGCTGTTTCTGTACCTCACTTCTGTTTTCTGTACGTCAGTTTCCTTTTTCTGTCCGTAAATCCTCTTCCACCACGCAGCTGGGCAGGAGTCTCTGAGCTTACTTTGGCTTGGAAGGCTGCCTGATTTGCGAATCGTTCATTGCTCAATTAAACTCTTTTAAATTTAATTCAGCTGAAGCTTTTCTTTTTACAAAACGTATGGCAACAATACAAAAAGAGGAGGAGGACACAAATGGAATTAAATATTAATAGTTTGGGTACTTGCGTTGTTTGGAGACTGGTAAAAGCACAATTTTAGTAGACTATAGTAAATCAAGGATGTCTGTCTCTAGAGTAGTGATTTAAGAATAAAAAATGAAATATAACTTAAAAGCTACTGGGGAAAATAGAATAATAAAAATACTTGATGAATTCAAAAATGTGAGAAATGAGGAATAAAGGCACAAACACATGAAACAAATAGAAAACAAATAACCAAGAGTTAGACTTATCAGTAACTAGATTAAATTTATTTATTTATAATTTTAACTTTTTATTATTAAATTTAAATGTTTCAAACACTAATGAACAACAAAGAAAGACTGAATAAAACAACAAAACTTTACCATATGATGTTTATAACAGACAAGCTTTAAATATAAGACAAAGAAGGGCTGAAAGTAAAAGATTTGAAATATATATAATATAAATACAAGAAAGAAAGCTGATATAGCTATATTAATGTACAAAGTAGATTTTAAGGCAAGAAGTATTATGAGAGGTAAAGAGAGACATTTCATTATGATAAAACAGTCAATTCAGCAGAAAGAATAAACAAAAAATTTAACAAATGCAATTATTTAAACATGCATTTAATAACATGTTTAAAATACATAAAGTAAAGATTGCTTAAAGATTGCTAGAACAAAGAGGAAAGACAGGCAAATTCATAGTCATAGTTGGGGATTGTAATGGGTTGAATAACCACTGTCCTCCTTAAAAAATATCTGTGTCCTAACCTAATCTCTGAAACCTGTGAATGTGACCCAGTTTGGAGAGTCTTTGTAGATACAATCAAATTAATGATCTTGAGTTGAGACCATTCTGGATTGCCAGGGTGGCTTCTAAATCCATGTCCAGTGTCTTTACAGGAGCCAGAAGAGCAAAGGACACACACAGAGGAGAAGGCGACTTGAAGATGGAGGCGGAAAACGAAATGATGCATCTACAAGCCAAGGAACATCAACGATTGCCAGCAGCCACTGGAAGGAAGCCTGAAGAGAGGCACAGAACAGCTTGCAGATGGAACCAATCCTATTGACATCTTAACTGGATTTCTGGCCTCCAAACTGTTGAGAGAGTAAATTTCTCTTCTTTGAAGCCACCAAGTTTGTGGTAATTTGTTACAGCAGCCCTGGGAAACTAATACAGATATTTTACACATGCTTCTCCATAACTGAGAGAACAAGTGGAGGGAGAAAAAAAGTCTGTTCTAAACCACATTTTCCTAAATGACATTTCTAGAAAATGAAACAAAATAACTGTACAGTCTTTTCAAGTGCATATGTAACATTTTACCAAAATCATCCATATTCTGGGCCATAAACCATGTCTCAAATGATTGAATTAATGAAAGAATGATAACTAGAAGATCTCCAAATATTTAGAAATTAAGCAATGCCCTTCTAAATAGCCTATGGGTCAAAGAAGACATCAAAAGGTAAATTAGAAAACTTTTATGTACAATGATAATAAAAATATAAAGATTGTGGGAAGTAAAATAGTTTTAGAGAAAAATGTATAGGTTAAATGTATATATTAGAAAAATAAAGGTTGAAAACAAATTATCTAATCAATATCAAGAATTTAGGAGTGGAGGAGTACACAAAGCTTAAAGAAAGTAGAAGAAAATAAGCAGAAATCAGTAAAAGAGAAAATAGTCACACTTTAAAGAAAAAACAAGAAAGTTAAAAGTAGTTTATATGAAAAGCTTAGTAAACTTGATAAAGCCCCAGTAAAACTAATTAAGGAAAAAGAAGCAAAAAGATATTACCAATATCAGAAATTAATTAGCATAGGAGTACCACTACAGAATTTACAGACATCCAAAGGATTTCTGAGGATATAATAAATAGCATTATGCTAATAACCTAGAAAATTTAAATAAAATGAGTAAATTCCTTGAAAAATATAACTTACCCAAACTAATTCAATACGATATAAAATAATACTTTTATAGCTATTAAAGAAATTGAATCACTAATTTAAAACCTAACAACAACAACAACAAACCCTCAGGTCCAGATTGCTTCATTGCTGAATTCTTCCAAACATATAAGGAAAAATAATATTAATGTTACACAAATTATTCCGGAGACTAGAAAAAAATAAACAATTTTTAACACATTTTACTAGCCCAACATAATCTTGATGCCCAAACCTGATAAGGACATTAAAATAAAACCAAATTATAACCAAAGATCTCTTGAGAACATAAATGCAAATTTTCTAAACAAAATATTATGAAACTGAATCCAGCAATATTTCCAAAGGATGATACAATGATCAAAGTGAGGTTTACCTTGACTGATTTTAAATATTAAATCAATGTTACAACGTTACAATAAAAATATGAGCAATCCTGCACACACACACCACACACACACTCACACACATTTCATAGATAGGATAATCATCTATAACACATCACAAGCAACATAGGTTGATTCTAGGAATTCAGAGTTTGTTTGCCCTTTAAAGATCAATCAATGTAATATATTACATTAACAGAGTGAAAAAGAAACATGATAATCTCAATACATGCAGAGTGATCAATTAGAATGAACATTCATGATAAATCTTTTAGCAATCAGAAGTAAAGGGGAGTTTCCTTAATCTAATAAAGGATATCATACAAAAATCTACAGCATACATCATGATTTGTGATAACCATTAAAAGGCTTGTATCATCTCTTCTATTCAATGTTGTACTGGAGGTTCTAGCCAATGCAATAAAGCAGATGAAATAAACAAAAGACATAAGAAAGGAAAAGATTTAAAAACTTTGTCAGATTCATAGATGACATAATTATGCAGCAACTTCAAAAGATATACAGAAAAACTATTCAATTTAAAAGTAAATTTAATAAAATTGCTGGAGCTGAGGTGAAACCAGTGCATATCTAAGAAGTAAATAGAGAATAAAATTTTAAAAATAATATGTAGTAATAAAGATAATGAAAGATGTACATGACTTCTATAAGGTAAATTAACAAATATTTTTAAAAGAAATTAAAGAAGACTTCAAAAATGGGAGGATATATCATGTTCATAAATTTAAACTTCAAAACTAAATTTGTTAATGTCTACAAATTGATGTACTAAGTCAATAGAAACTCAATACAAATTCAAGTAGGATTCTTTTTGTGGAAATTGACAAGCTGATTCTAAATTTTATATGGTAATGCAAAGTGCCAAGAATCACCAAGTAAATCTTGAAGATGCACATAGTTAGAAGATATATGCCACCAGATATCAAATATTAATGTCATGCTATAGTAATTAAAATCTTAATGTAATGCTACAGTTTTTTTTGCCATTATAGTATGGCAAAAAACTAAACCAAACAAAAACACAATGTATGGCAAATAAACCAGTGGAACAGAACCTCCCTGGAATGACATCCACATATAGGTCACCTGACTTATGGCCATGGTGCAACATTTAATAAATGATATTAGATCAATTGCCTATCCATAAGAAACAGGGTCTCACTCTGTCACCTGGACTGGAGTGCAGTGGTACCATCATAACCCACTGAAGCCTTGAACCCCTGTGCTCAAGGGATCCTCCCACCTCAGGCTCCCAAGTAGCTGGGACTTACAGGCATGTGCCACTGAGCCCAGCTAATTTTATTTTATTTTTTGTAGAGACAGGGTCTCGCTTTGTTGCCCAGGCTGGTCTCGAACTCCTGGCTTCAAGCAATCCTCCTGCCTTGGCCTCCCAAAGTGCTAGGATTATAGACGTGAGCCACCTCACCTGGCCCAATTGCCTAAGTAGAATAGAAAAAGCAGTAACTGGAAAAAAAGACCCATAAATTGAATATTATTAAAATGTAGAACTTACTACAACAGAAGACATCATTAAGAAGGGAAAAAGAAAAAGAAAAGCCATAGCCTGAAAGACAACATTTGTGTTACATTTATTAGAAAACAAGAGAATATTTAAACAACTTCTACAAAACAATAAAATCATAGACAAACCAGTAAATAACAGACAAAAGTTTGGAATAGGCCCTTCACAAACATATGAAAAGGTACTCAAGATCATCAGTGAAATACAATATAATAATAAAAAAACTGACCATCCTTCATGCAGCAACAAAAGTGACTTCCAAATATAACACTGAGCAGAAGCCGGACACAGAAGAGTACCTATTTTTTGATTCCTTTATAAAATTTAGGAAGCAGCAAAACTATTAGTGTTATAAATCAGAATAGCGGTTACTTTGGGAAGATAACTGGGAAAGGGCATCAGGAAGGCTTCTGGGGTGCTGATAATGTTCTATATCTTAATCTGAGTGCCACTTACATGGGTGCATTTAATTTGTAAATATCTACTGAACTGCATAATTAAGATGTGTGCACTTTACTACATATATATGTTATACTTCAGCAAAAAGTCTACATGGTACAAGAAAATTGTTGGAATAAAAAAAGACCTCCCAACAAAGTAAACTCCAGGCTATATGGCTTTTCCAGTGAATTCTTTTAAACATTTAAAGAAGAAATAATACCAATTTTATATAAACTCTTACAAGGAAGCAAATATATGAAACACTACCAGCTGGCTTTATAAGACTGTCATAAGTTTGATATCAAAATCTTATGAGGACATTACAAGAAAGAAAATTACAGTCTAATCTCTAAAACAGGAATGGGATGATGAAAGTGTTCCGGAATTAATTGGCGGTGCTGGTTGCCCAATGTCTTAGTCTATTTGGGCTGTTATAACAAAATACTATAAACTGGTTAGCTCATACACAACAAAAATTTATTTCTCATAGTTGTGGAGGCTAAGGAGTTCAGGACCAACCTCTCTGGCAGATTCAGCATTTCTTCCCATGGCAGGAGGGGCAAAGGAGCTCTTCTGGGCCTCTTTTATTAGGACGCTAATCCCATTCGTGACAGCTCTGCTCTCATGATCTCATCACCTTCCAAAGGCCTCACTCCCTAATGTCATCACCTTAGGGGTAAAGATTTCAACATATGGATTTGGGGTGGACTCAAACATTCAGACCGTAATATACAACTTTATGAATATACTAAATACCACTGAATTGTGTAATTTGAAAAGGTAACTTTTATGATACATGAATTATACTTTAATAGAAACATATAAAATGTATTATAAAAGGGTATTTGTTATATATAAAAATGATTAAGTATTGACTTAGTTGATTTTAAGAATGTAAAATTGAAATTCAAAATTATTTGCCTTTCAAAAATGTACTCAAAACAGTTTGTTACATTAACAGAAAAAAGAGAAACAGATATGATTACATCGATACATATAACTAAAGTGCTCGATAAACTTCAACATGTTTCAAAGACAAAAAATTTTTAATAATGAAGAGTATATGAGAATGTCCTTAATTCAAAAATGGTTACCTACAAAAAGCCTACTGTAAACACCAGGTTAATGGTGAAATGTTTTAATCCTTCCCTTTGAGATGTGGAACAAGACAAGGATGACATCTATTGCTACCAATGTTCAATGTTATACTGGTGGTCCTAGCCGTGTGGTAAAGAAGAAAGAAAATAAGGAGAAGGAAAGGAGGGAAGGAGGGAAGGAGGGAAGGAAGGAAGGAAGGAAGGAAGGAAGGAAGGAAGGAAGGAAGGGAGGGAGGAAGGGAGGGAGGGAGGGAGGAAGGAAGGAAAGGAGGGAGGAAGGGAGGGAGAAAGGAAGGAAGCAAGCAAAGAAGGAAGGCAAGCAGGCAGGCAGAAGGGAAGGAGGGAAGGAAAGAAAAGAAGACAAAGAGTTAAATAAAATTATAATTATCTGGTGGTTTTGTACAGTGTCAACCAGGCCAATTTGGAATTAAGTTTTCCAGACTTACTTTCTCTGTACGGTTCTGGACTAGGGTTACAGCATGAGAAATTAGCCTGATATTTGAGAGGCAGAGGTTAAGCAACAGCCATTCCACTCTGAAAGTCACATCCTTGGATAGAGCTGGTGAGGCACATGCAGGAGTGGAGGGTTCAGAAGACAGACCTTTTACTGGAGGCTTGAGAAAAACATTCACACGGGGAGTTTCAGCATCCTCTGCGATGGCTCATTCTCTGTAGGCCAGGAATGACAGTGGGAACTGTTGCCATTGAACTGGGTTCTCTGAATTCACTTGGGGACCAAAGGAGCTCAGGGTGACAGAGTCCAATTGGCAGCACTTAATTGCCAGAGACAATTGTAATGGCTATTAGAACTGAAACAGCAATCAGAATGATTTGACTGAAGAGAACATTGTTATTGGGCTAATTGATCATGGAGTCTCTAAAACCGAAGTAGAGGGATAGCCGACTAAGGTGTTATTTGATTTGTATAAGCATAAGAGATTTAGGTCAAGTGAATTGAAGTCTGACTTGAATTATTGCAAAAGAAGTTCATTGTTCATCAACAATTCCTAGACTTGAATAGTTTATAGACCCAGAGCAGCACCAACGGATGGGAGACTGGATTCTCTTGAGGAAGCACCATGCTACGCAGTCAAAAGCATGTATTGTAAATCTTCCCCTAGCCTTCTCCAAGAAGACTTACAGCCATTTACCAGGATTTGGATATAGAGAGTTTACAGAACTAGAAACAGAGATAAAAATATAGATATAGGTATAGGTGTATTATTATATTGTTTGTTTTTTCTATTTTACTAATTTTTTTTAATATTTCCAAGAAAATTCCTATTCCAATTCCATGTTATCTTATTACAGATTTCAAATAAGATGGAAGGTTTCCCAATTTGTTTTACAAAATAGCAAAACTGTTTCTTAAAGTGGATAAACAGCAATAAATGTGTGACCAATGTCATTTGTAAATTTAGATTCTGAAGCTCGTAAACTTTCTAGTAAAAGTAACAACATTTTTAAATACCAAGAAGAAAAGTAAAGAAGTCCCCAAGTTATCCAAAGAGAAGAGTAAGACAAAGATGTTATACACTGCATTTCTCTCAGCCTCAGCCTGGCCCTCACTACATAGGTGTATTTTTTTTTAATAAAATGAGATCTTGCCATATATGCCGTTCATCTGATTCTTTTTCCACATAAAACACATCTCTTTCTAGTCATTAAGTGCTTCTTTATGCTATCATTTTTTATGGCTGAATACCATGCCAGTGTATGGATATACTTATTTTCATTCTGCATAGCTATTTCATGTTTCTTAGGGAATTCTTTGTAATGGTCATTTGAACACATCTTTTTCCTACTAGTAGATTATTTCCAAACCATAGTTTAAAATATTTAGGTTACTCTAACATTTTAACTAATATAAATAATGCTGCAATGAAAAGTTTATACCAAACTGCTTTAAAAAGTGTGTGATTATTTCCTAAGTATAAATTCTAAGAAGTAGGTTAAAATACATGCCCACTTCTGAGGTTTATAGTGCATGGGGCCTTTCAAGAGGATGTGTTGATCTCGTGGTACATGAGAGTCCAGGTTCTTCCACAGCTTCGCTAACCTTGAAGAGTATCAATTTTTAAAATCTTTACTGATTTGCCAAGCAGGATGATTATTATACTGGAGGTGGTAGAACCAACATAATTTCAAGTTTATTGAAGTAAAATCAAGTTTGAAGCCTTTTACGTATTTAGGCCCCTAGAATTAGAAAAGACACATCCCAGGATAAGAAAGAACTTAAAGAAAGAGTTGCCAGGAACCCCATAGGAATATCTGAGAACATTATGGCTGTCTTCAGCCATGTGAAGTACAGATTGCACAGAAGGAATTCGGTTAAGATTTTTATTATTCCAGAGAAAAATTAGAATGTATCGGTAAAAGAAATAGGAATGCATATTTCAACTCACTGTCACAAACAGGTGTTTTATTATCCCAAATGACAGTGTTGCCTGAGATGATGCATGTGGCAGACGAGGAACCAATGAGTCGGTATCTAGAGGCAAAAAATAAGGAATGTTACATTCTAAATACACAGGTCAACTACCCAATTAAATTACTACTTCCAGAGATTACACTCTTATAGAATTCAGAGGGACATTTTCCACTTGTCAAAGAATTGTCTATCACCTTCCCAAATTTCACATTCTTGGGACTTTGTCATTTTCTCTTCCATGCCTTCTCAGTTGGATGGGATTTCTCTTTTTTATTATCTTATGACACATTTTTATATAAATCAAAGATGAGTTACAGTTTTTCCTATAAATTTCATTTTTTTAAAAGACAACACAAGCTTCTTGAGTGCAGGGAAGCTGTCATATATATACATATGTATGTGTGTATGTAGTCCTGTTGTATGTATTTCTATGCCTTATAAGTATTAATATATGGATGCATGGATGGGCTTTTATCAGTAAGATTCATCTAAGTAGGCCATTCACAGTGGCTCACGCCTGTAATCCCAGCACGTTTGGAGGCTGAGGTAGGAGGACTGCTTGAGCTCAGGAGTTCGAGAGAAGCCTGGGCAACATAGTGAGACCCTGTCTCAACAAAAATTTTATTAAAAAGCCACGCATGGTGGCACATTCCTGTAGTCCTAGCTACTCAGAAGGCTGAGGCAGGAAGATCGCTTGAGCCTGGGAGATTGAGGCTGCAGTGAGTGTTGATCATGCCACTGCACTCCAGTCTGGGCAATAAAGCAAGACCTTGTCAGTAGGAAAGAAAGGGGCGGGGTAGAGAGAGAGAGAGAGTCAGAGGGAGAGAGAGAGAGAAAGAGAAAGAGAGAAAGAAAGAAAGAGAAAGAAAGAAAGAAGGAAGGAAGGAGGGAAGGAAGGAAGGAAGGAAAGAAAGAAAGAAAAAGAAAGAAAGAAAGAAAAAAAGAAAGAAAGAAAGAAAGAAAGAAAGAAAATGATTTATAACTAGAACCAAAGGCAATCCAAGCTGACCAAAAAGAACTGAACACTTATTTTATACTTAAAATGTTAAAGTTAGCAATTCTCAATTAGTATGTCTCAAACTGTTCAAAGTGTGCCATAAATTTGGAAGAATTTATAACATTTATTTTACTTCACCTGAGACCCTCTGTTGTGATAGATGGTTGGGCCAAACTAGTCATAGTGAGGGTAGGCTCAAACTTGATAGTACTATACATGAATGAAGCAATGTCAAGTAACAGTCATGGTTATTGGAATGGCTGAGAACTTTGTTTTACAAATATGTAGGAAAACCTGGCAGCATAAAGCTTTATTCAAACAACGAAACAGTGCCAAATGGAGATCAAATGAATAGTGAGACAACAGTGGGTCCTTCTGCAGACACTTGACACATTGTTACATTATAGTAGCTATTATGTTGTAATTATTAGTGACTTCGATATCATTTTGGTTATTTATTATTATTATTATTTTTGAGATAGAGTTTCACTCTTGTCGCCCAGGCTGGAGTGCAATGTCACTGCAACCTCCACCTCCCAGATTCAAGTGATTCTCCTGCCTCAGCCTCTCAAGTAGCTGGGATTACAGGTGCACGCCACTATGCCTGGCTAATTTTTGTATTTTTAGTAAAGACGGGGTTTCATCATGTTGACTAGGGTGGTCTTGAATTCCTGACCTCAGGTGATTTCTCCCACCTCAGCCTCCCAAAGTGCTGGGATTACACGCATGAGCCACTGCGCCTGGACTCATTTTGTTTTTTAAAATTAATTAATCAATTAATTAATTTTTATTATACTTTAAGTTCTGGGGTACATGTGCAGAATGTGCAGTTTTGTTACATAGGTATACATGTGCCATGGCGGTTTGCTGCACCCGTCAACCGGTCACCTACATTAGGTATTTCTCCTAGTGCTATCCCGCCCCTAGCCCCCCACCCACCAACAGGCCCCGGAGTGTGATGCTCCCCTCCCTGTGTCCATGTATTCACATTGTTCAATTCCCACTTCTCATTTTGTTTTTTAATGCCTTCTAGTACACCACCAAAAATGAAAGCATTCTCAATTGCACTGCCAACACACATGCACACAAATAGAGAACAAATGAAGTAAACAAGTCTGCAATCCTATATTTGTACCTCCTTCTATTTGTCTTAAGAACAAGACATCCTGGAGACTCTGGCTTTTGACCCCACTGAGGTTATTTCTCAAAGTGTTCTTTTTGATTTTCTAATCATGGGGGTTGGGATAGGAATGGTGAAGCAAGTTCAAACTTAAATTGGCATTTTTTTTCCTCCATACTATTGTTCAGTGTTGTAGTACTGAACATTTTAAATATGAGTCAAAGGATAACTTTATGTTCACTGATCAAAGGGAACAGATAGAAGAATATTTTAATTTATTAAACTTGTGTCCCAAAGTAGATTAAGTACTTGAACAAATAATGGTTTGAACTTTTCTCATTCAGAATGTTTGTGAGGAAGTAAGGCAGAGAGACAAAATCCATGCTACTTATTTTAAGGAGAGCCAGGGACTCTCATATCCATTTAAACAGATTGAAGCCTTTACATCCTACCCTACCTTTTTGGATCTCCTGGGGAAGAGAGAGTTGTGGATTCACAAAGTTAAGCCATGGTTCAGGAAAAGCCATGATCATTTCGTTTCCAGAAACCACATACAGGATGTGGGTGAACATGTCTAGACTTTTGGGAGTCTCCTCCCCAGGGCCCGAAGAGGGACAGTGAAGCCTGGGATATTAGTCCCATTTCCATTTTCCTTCTTAATCTATGTGCCTTGAACCAGGTGGTTGGGTTAGGAAAAAATGAGAATAAAAAACAAATCCTGTGAATTGTTTAGGTTAGCACATTGTTAACCTTAAATAATGAGATTCAGAAAATATATTTAAGGATAGAGTTTATTTGAGCACACAGCTTAAGGGTAGCCACCTGGAAGACACCAACTCCAAATGAATGGGGTCAGCATTCCAAAGTGGAGGACGTAAGGTATCACTTACATAGGCAGAGACAGAGAAATTTTAGCAGGATTATATTTTCCATATGGGACCATGCATAGTTACATCACTTTGATTGGTTACATATTGCTACATTCCAAGGAAGATTATTGCTCCCTGAAAAGGCGTAGTGATCTGAGTGGGTCTTATCTCTGGCGCCATTTGGTTTTAACTATTCACAGGATAAAAAGGCAGAAGTTACAGCTGCCTGCTGCATGACTCAGGCTGCATAGCCACAGTCTTCTCATGGCTCAGAATAATTTAAAGTTCTCCCAGCTATAAGTTTGAATTGTTTTAAGTTCGAATGATTTAATTTCACAATATACAATTCTTTGGTAGGAAGCCCATGCCCTTGGAAATTTAGTAGTAACTTAAAAAAAAAATTTTTTTATTTTGAGATAATCAGATTCCCATGCAGTTGTAGGGAATAGCACAGAAAGATCCCAGGTACACTTTACTCAATTTTCCCCTAATAATAACATTTTGCAAAACAATAGTGCAACATCAAACTCAAGATATTGAGACAGGTATGATCCACCAGTTTTGTTCAAATTTCCTGTTTTACCTGTACTCGACTGTGTGCGTGTCTGTTTATGCACATGTGCCTGTGTATTTACTTTTATGTAGTTTAAAAAAAAATAGACTTTGTGTTTTAGCACAAGTTTTTGGTTCACAGCAATAATGAACAGAAGATACAGAGATTTCCTATATACTCCCTGCCCCTATACATGGATAGCCTCCCCTATTATAAACATCTTTCACCAGGGTGGTAAATATTTTTTGCAACTGATGAACCTACGCTGACACATCATGGTCACCCCAAGTCCATAGTTTATCTTAGGGTCCACTCTTGGTATTGTACATCATATGACTTTGGATAAATTTATTATGACATGTACCTACTGTTATGGCATCATACAGAGTAGTTTCACTACCCTCAAAATCCTCTGTGCTCTGCCTATTCATCCCCTTCTTCCCTAACCCCTGGCAACTGCTGATCTTTTTACATCTCTATAGTTTTGCCTTTTCCAGAATGGTGTATAGTTGGAATCATATACTATATAGGCTTTTCAGATTGGCTTCTTTCACTTAGTAATAGTGAAAGAAGATTCATTATTTAAGGTTCCTCTATGTCTCTTCATGGCTTGATAGCTCATTTCTTTTTGGTATTGAATAATATTCTATTGTATGCATGTACCACAGTTTATCCATTCCCTTGCTAAAGGACATCTTGATTGCTTCCAAGTTTTGGCAATTATGAATAAAGCTGTTATAAACATCTGTGTGCAGATTTTTTTGTGTGTGAACCTGAGATTTCAATTCCTTTAGATAAATACCAAGGAGGATAACTGCTGGATAATATGTTAAGAGTATGTTTATTTTTATACAAAACTGCCAAAATGTCTTTCAAAGTCATGGTGCCATTTTGCATTCCTACCAGCAATGCATGAGAATTATGTTCCCCTCACCCCTGAAATATATGGATGTCTTAATCCCCAGTTCCTATTAATGTGACCTTATTTGGAAATACGGTCTTTGCAGAGGCAATCAAGTTAAGATGAAGTTGTTAGTGTGGGCCCCAATCCAATATGACTGGTGTCCTTATTGAAAGAGAGAATTTTGGGCTGGGTGCGGTGGCTCATGCCTGTAATCCCAGCACTTTGGGAGGCCGGGAGGTGGGCGGATCATGAGATCAGGAGATCGAGACCATCCTGGCTAACATGGTGAAATCCTGTCTCTACTAAAAATACAAAAAAAAAAAAAAAAAAAAAAATGGTGGTGGGCACCTGTTGTCCCAGCCTACTCAAGAGGCTGAGGCAGGAGAATGGCAGGAACCCGGGAGGTGGAGCTTGCAGTGAGCCGAGATCTCGCCACTGCACTCCAGCCTGGGCAACAGAGCCAGACTCCATCTCAAAAAAAAAAAAAAAAAAGAACTTTGGACACAGACATGCACAGATAAGAGAACAGCATAGGAGGACAGAGACCCAGAGGGAAGACAGCCATGTGAGGACAGACAGAGACAGAAACTGGAGTTCTGCTGCCACACGCCAAGGCCTGGGGCTTCAGAAACTGGAAGAAGCAAAGAAGGATCCATCCCTACAGGTTTTGGAGGGAGCATGGCTATGGATCTGGCTCTGGCTCTGCCAATATCTTGATTTTGTACTTCCAGCCTCCGGAACAGAACTCCAAAAACTTTGTTTGTATTAAGCCGCCTGTTTTGGAGTACTCTGTTACAGCAGCCCTAGCAAACTATTTGTGCTATGACCATTAAGATTTCTCTCACACAGCTGCTCAATGGCCTTCCCTTTCTTTGAGCAATGTCTAATCTGTGTTAAGGCTGATTGTGTGCTTTGACTATACTCTTCCCCCATTTTCTTCCTTCCCACCCAATGAATGCCACACTTTTCATATATGCTCTGCCTTGGTTTCCAGCAAGGATACAGATGATTTTCCCCCTGATCTTGTCATACCTTTGTCCATTTCAGTCAGGAGCTAAGCACCTGTGTTGAAGCCTTTAAAGAGCAGATGGTAATAGTTTAGTTGTCCTTTCTGAGATGTGACTAGAAGGTAGTATGGCTGTGTTAGAACCCTTGAACCAAGAGATGTTGGTTCAAGAGATGCCAACTCACCCTTTAGGACAAGAATATTTAATTTGGGATCTGAACTGGATGTCTTTGATCACATGTGCCATGCCATTCACAGGATCTGGAGGATTACGACATGATTTACCTACAGGAAAGAAACAGAAATTTGAAGCCAAGTAGAGTAAACTGAATTTTTTTTTAGTACATAAGGTCTCAACCTGCCTATAGCTTACTGAGGAACACATGCAGTTCTGATGGTTCCACAGATTTTGCTACCTTGAGGAAACTCACCAGACTGCCTCAGGATCAGCTCCCTTTCAAAAAAAGCTTTCCTTTCAGATCTGTTTCATCCCCATATTATGCCTCCCAGAAAAATGTAAACTTCGTTATTATCTGTAATTCAATTCAACTGATATAATCCAAAGATCTCAAGGCCCAAGATTGTCGCATCTTTTAGTTATTTAATCCACTTCTCTTTCTTGTCCCAAGTCATTCATTACTTAATTTTAGTCATGAAAATGGGAGACCCCCAGTGAATGGGGGTTTTCCCTCAATCATGTCCTGCAATGACGGTTTCTCATGAAATAAACTTGTAATGAAGGTGCCAGGAACTCAAAGCAGTAACAAGGTATGATCTACAAGAATAATTCTCATATGTATTGCACCTTAGCAAACTAATTGTTGTATGCAACTCAGTTACAAAATTTGAACAAATTGAATCAGATCTTACAGATGTTTGACTAACAGAGGGGTTCCCACTCCAGAGTTACTTACGTTTGCACTTGTCCTTAGCACTTGTCCAGACTGAGTTTTTTAGGCAGATGATAGAAAACGGTCTTCCGGAATAACCAGGGCGGCATTCATAGTTCAGATATGTCCCAATGGGAAACTCAAAGTCATCAGTTAGGTTGGTAGGCCTGGCAAATGGAAGCCATTCCGGGACATTGCATTGATCTGGGGATCAAGACCACAGCAGCATCGAAGTTAATGGAGAAATTACCATACTTTTTTTTTTTTTTTTTTTTTTTTTTTTTTGTGACAGAGTCTCCCTCTGTCACCCAGGCTGGAGTGCAGTGGTGCGATCCTCTGCCTCACAGGTTCAAGCAATTCTCCCTGCCTCAGCCTCCTGAGTAGATGGGATTACAGGCGCCTGCCATCACATCCGGCTAATTTTTGAATTTTTAGTAGAAACAAGGTTTCACCGTGTTGGCCAGGCTCAAACTCCTGACCTCAGGTGATCTGCCCACCTCTGCCTCCCAAAGTCCTGGGATTACAGGTGTGAGCCACCATGCCCTGCTGAAATTCCCACTCTACTTCCTCTTTCTCTCAAATATACTGCATAGATGTGATCAAAAAAGAAAAAGAAGACTTCACTAATAGCCAAGGGAGCTGGGTGTGGTGGCTCATGTCTGTAATTCCAGCACTTTGGGAGACCAAGGTGGGTGGGTCACTGGAGGTCAGGAGTTCGAGACCAGTTTGGCCAACATGGTGAAACCCCGTCTCTACTAAAAATACAAAAAATTAGCAGAGCATGGTGGCATGTGCCTGTAGTCCAAGCTACTTGGGAGACTGAGGCAGGAGAATCATTTGAACCCAGGAGGCAGAGGTTGCAGTGAGCCAAGACTGTGCCACTGCACTCCAGCCTGGGTGACAGAGCAAGACTCCATCTTAACAATAATAATAACAATAATAGCAAAGAGATTGATTCCTTTAGAACTTTGGTCCCCAATCTTTTTGGCACCTGAGACTCGTTTTGTGGAAGACAATTTTTACGTGAATGGAGGGTGCAGGGAAATGGTTTTGAGATGGAACTGTTCCACTCAGATCATCAGGCATTAGATTCTCATAGGGAACATGCAACCTAGATCCCTCGTATGCACAGTTCACAATAGGGTTTCTGCTCCTATGAGAATCTAATGCTGCCAGTGATCTGACAGGAGGTGGAGCTCAGGCAGTAATGCTTGGCCGCTCACCTCCTACTGTTCTGCTCAGTTCCTAACAGGCCACCGGACAGTACCGGTTTATGCCCCAGGGGTTGAGGACACCTGCTTTAAAACATGCCTTAGAAATGGGCTCTTTTTTTAAAAAAAAAATCAGCATCCATCCATTTAAAAAGTCTCTGCTAGTTTGAAGAAAACTAAGCTATTTATATCATCTTTCACTAAAGGGGAAGCTGCAATTCACAGCTTCAAATTTTAGTTAATCAGTAAGTGCCTGTGTTGTAGCTTCTCTCCCATCCTCATTTATCATACTTTCTTGTAAAGTATGAGTGTAAGATACACTCATGCATTTTACCATCCACCTTCACACTCAGTGGACACTCAGATTCAGTGGGAGTACACATCTCCTCTTTGGCCCTCAGTAGCAGCCACCAATGTTGGAAGTCTGTCGCCACGTCAATCTTGAGCACAAAGAGTGAACAAAGCTCAACAACTAAAGCTATACTTTACCATAAAGAAGACGTATTTTCTCATAGATATTTCATATTATATAGTAGACTCAGCTAGGCCCCTTAAGGCCTTGTAGATTTAATTTAAAGCAACAAAAATCACAGAGTCAAACAGTATGTAATCAAGAAGATATATCTGTTGAAAAAGAATAGCATCTTACTCTAGTTTTGGAAATATCTTGTTTGTTTTGTTTTCATTTCTGTTCCTTCCCACACCTTCCACTAATTAATTGGGTAGATTGAGGCCAGAGGTCAATTTTATTAGACTTAAAAGAACCAACTTTTGGCTTTGTACAAAGATGCCCTTGTCTATGTTTCCTGCTTCATCTCTTACCACTGGGTCCCCTCACCAAGGTGTGGTGGCCCTTTCCCCTTTTTCAGTTTCCTGAAGACACACATTTTTCCCCTGTCTATGACATTCCTTTTGTGTGATGCACTTTTATCTTGGCTATGACTTCAATTCTTCCTCCAGGTGTTTGCTAAAATACCACCTTCTTATCGAAGCCTTCCCTGGCCTGTCTATGGCCATACCACCCTGAACGCACCCAATCTAGTCTGATGCCTTCCCTGACCCTCTCAGGGATTTGGAATCTAAACTACTTCCCTCTGCCCCACCCTATAATTTCTAGTCAGGCCCTTTCCTTTTCCTTTCATATCAATAATTGTTTGTGGTTGCAATTTGTGCTTTTTAATTTTGTGTGCTTTTAGAAGTATCTATTTCTCTCAAAAGATATTAGATATGTATAATTTGAGGGCAAATGATGACATGTTTTTTGTACTTCTAAATTAATACCTAGTCCTTGTGCTTAACACTCAGTTATAAGCACTCAATGCATATTTGTTGCAATGATCAAATAATTGAAGAATTACTTATAAAACTTAAAAAAAAATGAAGAGTCCACGCTATGTCCCCAGAATCTCTGATTTAGTGGGTCTGGGTTAGAGCCCAGGAGTCTATATTTTTTAAAAGTTTCACAGCTGATTTGGATAGATAACAGCACTTTGAGAACCACTGTATAAAAAAAAAAACACGAATAAAACAGTTCCGTGACTTTCAGTGTTATGCATTCACCTTTCCTCTAGTTGATATGTGGGATGAAATACAATTTTGATATGTGTCTTATGCATTGATGCTAGACAAAGGAAGAGATTCCAAGTGGAGCTCTCCTAGCGCCAAAAGCTGTATTAAGAGAGGGTAAACGTCACAACAAAGCTTGCAATGAGAGGTTAGAACTAGATCAAAGCAACAAAGCAAATATAATGAACCATTCTTGGAAAGAAAGAAGTTCCTTCCCCTTAATTACCTAATATTCTTACCTTTATAGTAGTATATGCATAGTATAGGTAATAATATAAATTTGCGTAGTAGCCCAAAAAAGGAACATATGAGCCTTCAACAAAGAATGCTTGATGTAGTTTCCTTTCCCTCTTTATTACCAATCCCTCAATTTGTGGCTGGTTCTTATGATAAATATATTAATATAAACTCCATAAACTCAAGACCTACCATAAGTTTAAAAAGTTTTTATAGCTTTATTAAGATGTATTACATAAAATGGTTGATGAGTATTTAAAGTGTACAATTTGATTACTTATATATATGCCCTGTGAAACCATCACCAAATGAAGACAATGAACATTTCCATCATACCCTTCACCCCACACAGTTCCCTCATGTCCTTCTGTAATGCATCCAAACATCCACTTCCTTCTCTAGGCAACCTTCGACCTGTTTTCTCTTACTACAGATTGATTTGACTTTCTAAAATTTCATATAACCCGAATCACTTCGTTTATATCCTATCATATAAAGGAAATCACTCCGATTGTTTTAAATGTTTTAGCCTTCACACAGCATAATTAGAGTTCTATCTAGGTTGCTGCACATATACAAATTGTTTCCTTTTGTTGCTGGGTAATATTCAATTGTATAAATATATGTTAATTTAGTTTATCCATTCACTTGTTGAGGGACATTTGGATTGTTCCCACTCGTTGGCTATTACAAACAAAACTGTTATGAAAATTCATGTACAAGTCTTTTTGTGGACATATGATTTCATTTCTCTTGGGTAAAAACCTAAGAGTAAAATGCTGAGTAATATGACAGGTGTGTGTGTAAGGTTTTAAGAAACGGTTGAACTATTTTCTAAAGTTATGTTGTAATTTTACCTGCCGAATAGCAGTATATTATAATTCCAGCTTCTCCACTTTATTGCCAACACTTGGTTTGGTCAATCTTTTCCATTTTAGCCATTCTAGTGGGTATATTTTGTTATCTCATTTCGGGTTTTTTCTTGTATGACTCAGCCCAATTTCATGCACTCCTGGTTCAGATCTTCCATTCAAAGCAAGCTGATTTATTCTGTGCTATACGCACAATTAACACATCATCACTTTCATGTCTGCGCAAATATGAGCTGTCAACCCGAAGTACACTCTGCTTTCCATTCTGCATACTTACCCTTTAAGGAACAGACTTGCACTTGCTTTGCTTAGGCATGTCTGTCAGCTTAAAAAAAGAGCATGCACTTTCAAAAATATAAAGTAATAAATTATATATGTACACAAATATAAATTATATGCCTAAATATAAATTTTTGAAATGTAAAACAGATAAAATAAACATTTTAAATGCTCTGTTAATCATGATCACTTAACACAATCATTAGTTGACATCTAAGGGGACAAAAAACAGCCACAGTGAGTTCCTCTGGTCACAATAGTGAATGTAAAGCTGTATTTCAACTGTCTTCATGATACTTTCTAGATTTTTTGGTTTCATCAAGTTGTGATCAGTTGTGATTAGATTGACAGCATTTGTTTCTCTTAATGTCTCTGACAAAAGAAATTTGTATACATGTGTCTTTGCAGGGAGGGTGAGAGGGATTGTCAACTCTGCCATTTTCTTGTTTTCTGGAGTTCGTCTTATTAAGTGATCTTCACCCAGTATTTCTGTGTAGGACAGTTTTGATGTTGCCTGTCCGAATGTGAAGTTTATTTTAGATAACAGTAGATAATATAAATCATACATCTACTCATCCGAGCATATGTAAACCAGAATACATCACAAAGCACAGAAAGCAAATTGGAATTACCCTTCTTTCTATCTTGCACCTTTACCTAGCAGGGAAAACCAAATCAGATCCTACATGAGGACCATGTGAGGGCGCCAGAGTCTACCCTATGTTAAACACTCCCTGGTAAAGCTTAATTAGCATACTATTTTTATGGCTCACAATGTGGTCTATCCCCATGAATGTGAGCCAGAGAATGTCTTTTGCTGTTGTTGGATGAAGTCGTCTGTATATGTCAATTATATCCAAGTGGATTGATGGTGCTGTTGAGTTCAAGTATGTCCTTATGGATTTTCTGCCTGCTGAATCTGCCCATTTCTGATAAAGAGACTTCAGCACCTTTATCTTTTCTGATATCAGAAAAGATAAAGGTGCTGAAGTCTCCAACTATGATAGTGCATTCATCTATTTCTCCTTGCAGTTCTATCAGCTTTGCCCCACATATTTTGTTTCTCTGTCAGATGGATACATATTAGATATTGTTATGCCTTCTTGGAGAATTAGCCCCTTTATCATTATATGATGACCCTCTTTATTCCTAATAATTTTCCTTCGTCTGAAGTCTGCTGTGTTTGAAATTAACACAGCTACTCCTGCTTTCTGTGACTAGCATTAGCATGGTATATCTTTACCCATTTACTTTTAATATATATTGTCTATATTTAAAATGGTCTTATAGGGAGTACACAATATATAGTTGAGTTTTGTTTGTTGATCGACTCTGATGATCTGTTTCAATTGGTGCCTTTAGATCATTGACACTCAAAATGATGGTTGATATAGTTGGTTTAATATGTTACTTGTTTCTATTTGTTGTCTTTCTTCTCTTGTTCTCTGTTTCTATTTTTTGTCTTGCATTCTTTTCCTGACCTTTATTTTATTTTATTTTTATTTTTGAGACAGAGTCTCACTCTTTCGCCCAGGCTGGAGTGTAGTGGCATGATCTCGGCTCACTGCAACCTCTGCCTCCCAGGTTCAAGAGATTCTCCTGCCTCAGCCTCCTGAGTAGCTGGGATTACAGGCACCCACCATCATGCCCAGCTAATTTTTGGATTTTTGTAGAAATGGGTATTCACCATGTTGGCCAGGCTGGTCTCAAAGTCCTGACCTCAAGTTATCTACCCTGCCTCCTAAAGTGCTGGGATTATAGGTGTGAGCCACTGCGCCTGGCCCCGTTTATTGTTTTAACTGAGCATTTTATATGATGCAATTCACTCTTCCTTACTGGCATATCAATTGTACTTCTTTTTTTCACTTTTTTCAGTAGTTGCCCTAAGTTTGCAATATCTATTTGCAGCTAATCTAAGTTCTCTTTCAAATAGCACCATACCACTTCATGGGTAGTAGGAGTACCCTCTAATGACAAAACAATCCTAGTTCCTCTGTTATTTTTTATATATAAATATTCCCATAAACTGTCCTATGCAACCTGTTTCTGGATTCACTCTTCAAGTGCTAGTAAAGTCATACTCTTTTCCCTCACCCTTTCCTGATCATAGGAGTTGAGATTTCTCCCTTTTCAGTGATCCTGCAGTCTTGCACGACTGCTTAGTCATGGTTTTTCAGACATGCATGAGGGTTTTCAGATTACAAAACGCTGTCACATGCACTACCCCACCTGATTTTCAAAATACCTCTCTCAGAAATCAGGATGTCAGTCATGCTCATTTTATACACGTGGACACTGAAGGTCAGTGATGTGACTTAAGTTGCTGGGTCCACAGCCCCAGTTGGTAAGTAGCAGAGTCTGGAAAAACCAGAACACTGGCTTCCTAAAAAGTAGATTTCATAAAACTCCACCACCTACTTCTATATGCATACACCTTGGGAGCATAGCTCTTTCTCTTACATTTCTTTTAAATTCCAAAGGACTGTGCACACCGGAAGCATCCATAAGCATTTTAAAATTGAAATTACTCCAGCAACAAAATTTCTAGGTAGTTTAGTTTAGGCTGTTTCACATTTGGAGGTTATTGTGAGAACCTCAGTAAGCACTGACAACAGATTGCTTAACTTACTGGGCATGCTTCTCTCCTAAAAATAAAATTGTAAGTTTTATCATATCTCTTCACTAGACAGGTTACTTTCTGGTGCCTAAGGAGATCAAATATTAATAACAACTCTTGGGGGAACTTGGTTTTCTTTTCCCCTTACTCTTTTAGAGAAGAAGGAACACTCAAATAATGAATGCAAAACGTCTAGTGGCAGAGAAGGACGAACCCTGAGTTGTCAGGAAGAGACAGGACCAAAACAACCAAAACTGTCACTTCAAGTGAGATGTTGCCAGTGAGTCTAGGCAACCAAGAAGACTTCTGGGGAGCCCAAAACTAATAATAGAAGGGTTCTAACTGAAGATGTTTACCTACTTGAAGTTAAAAAAAGGAAGAGATGTGGCCTCAAAATTTCCATAGTAGTTATAATAGGCTTTATTTTGTACTAAACACATCACTAAAATGCAAATTGTAAACATATCTACTGTCCCTTCTACCTGCAGCGGTTACATTGCATGTTCTGGGGCTTCCCTTGCTCTTCTAATCCCCAAGTGCCTGGCATGCATCTGTCTTAAAGTATGCTGTCAATCAAGTGCATCATGATGATGGCGGTGGTGGCTTGGGGTAGGGGACGAGGACAGTTCCATGCAGGACATCCCTAGGACTGCTTGTCTAAACACCACTGGGAGCAAAGTGCAGAGGTAACGGTTGGGGGATAGAAATGGACTCGGGGACAGGCCCTGTGTTAGATACTCGACAGGCTTTATGCCACTGAGGCAGCAACTCCACAATGCAGAGATACCAGTGTCCCCATTTTACAGAAGAGCAAACAGACTTAGGTGTGCTAACTTGCCTCACAGTTAAGTTTCTAGGACCAGAACTCAGGTTTGTCGGATCCCCAAGTCCCGTTTCGCTAGGATCGACGCCACGCTCGGCTATAGCCAGCCGAGGCTGTGAATACACAAAGGCAAGGAATTTCGTGCGGCACCCGCTCAGCATCTGCGCCTTCCACTGCGCTCGTCACGACTTAAGCCCCTGCACGTGGGAACTCCACGCTTACCTAGAGGCAGCGAGGGTCTCCAGTGCGCAGAAGGATCCCAGACCCGCCGCCCTGCCAGGTAGCGCGCTCAGCCCACCCATCGCGCTGCCTTTGGACCCGGGCGCGCAGAGCAGCGCAGCCCAGCGCGGCACGCGAGTTCTCTGCGGGGCCCTGGGTGCCTCGTCAGCCCGGGCGCCTCCCCACGCCCCCCAGCGTTTCACCCCAGGCCACCGGCAGCGCGAGCAGCACCACGACCGCCAGCAGGGATCCTCCGCAGCAGAAGGGGAGACCGGGCGCCGGCTGCCCAACAGGCTCCCGGCTTCTCGGAGAAGAGACCCCCATCCTCCCGAAGCACATCTACAAACCAGATTTGATCTCGAAGAAAACTGAAATAAGAGGAAAAGCGCAGTGCAAAGAGGAGTGACCAATCCTTGTGCTCCGCGCCCAGAGCATGGGGAGGGCTGCGGGGTTCCGGGACAAAATGCTTTTGACCAGCTTCCCCTTCATGGGCAAGGCCATGTTTACTCCCCATTTGCATTGTTTCTAACGAGTTTCGCTGGCAGAGCCCACCTTGCTGACCCAGGTGCAGCAGCAGAGCTTGACAATGCTTGGGCTTCCGATGGATCCCGCGTGTGAGGCCCTGCGCTTCCTTCCAGACAAAGGCGGTGGATGATGGCAACTCACCTCCAAACACCCTGCTTGACTTTTCCTCTTTGCAAGAATGTGTGTGGGAAGGTCAGCTAATGAAATGCCTGCTCTCTGTGTTGAAGGGCAATTGCAGGCGATGTGTACAGTGCACAGGGAATGTGAAGAACCAATTTCCTTATCGTGAATTGAGATGTCATGCCATTGTAAGATTTTTAAAAAGGGAAGGACAATTAGATATATATTCAAAAAATGTAAATCTGTGTATAGTATGGAGACTAGATTAAAGCAATAATGGAGAGGGGAGACCAGCCAGGGAGCTTTTGCTGACATCCAAGTGAGGTTTGATGGTGGCCCTGACTGGGTGGATAAAGTGGACAATTAACAAAGATATTGGAGATGGAATGAACAGTTGCTCATGTATTGGATTTTGGTTACTTCCTTTCTTAAGGTTAGTAGTGAGAAGAAAGCAATCAAGAGTTAGCCCCAGGATTAGCAATGAATATGGATGTAGGAGTGACAGATGTAGGGCAGAGGGTTAAGTATTCAAGGATGAATTTATTCTTATGTATCTGTGACCCTGTGCCCTTTAACCAATCTCTCTCCATCTCCCATTGTCTCTCCCTACCCCAACCTCTGGTAACCAGTATTCTACTCTCTACTTCTATGAGATGAGCTTTTTTAGATTGCACATGACTGATATCATACAGGATTTGTCTTTCTGTGCCTGATTTACTTCATTTAATATAATATCCCCTAGATTCATCCATGTTGCTGCAAATGATAGGATTTCATTCTTTCTTATGGCTGAATAGTATTCCCTTGTGTATATATACCACATTTTATTTATCCATTCGTCCATTGGTGAACACTTGGGTTGATTCCATACCTTGGCTATTGTGAATAGTGCATCATTGAATGTGAGAGTGCAGATATCTTTTCATCATACTGGTTTCCTTTCTTTTGGGTATATACCCAGTAGTGGGATTGCTGGATCATATGGTAGTTCTGCTTTTAATTTTTTGAGAAACCTCCATACTATTTCCCATAATGGCCATATTAATTTGGATTCCCTAACAGTGTATAAGAGGTCTCTATTTTCCACATCCTCAGCAGCATTTGTTATCTTTTATCTTTTTGATAAGAGCTCTGATAACTAGGGTGAGGTGATATCTCTCTCTGGTTTTATTTTGTATTTCTCTGATGACTAAGAATGTTGAGCATTTTGTTTTATATTCGTTGGCCATTTCTATGTCTTCTTTTGAGTGATGTCTGTTCAGGTCTTGTGCCCACTTTTAAATAATATTATTTGTTTTATTTTGCTGAGTTGTTTGAGTTCCTCAGATATTCTGGATATTAACCCCTTGTCAAAGGCATAGGTTGCAAACATTTTCTCACATTCTGTAGGTTTTTTTCTTCACTCTGTTGTTTCCTTTGCTGTATCCCATAAATGTGTACAATCATTATGAGCCAATTTAAAAAATAACAATAAAAAACAATCCAAGAATGAGAGAAAAGGAGGAGTGCGTGGTAGGCTGAATAATGTTCCCCCAAAATGTCCTCATCCTACATCCCAGAATCTGTGAGTGTTACCTTGCAGTTTAGGACTTTGCAGTTGGATATTGAGATGGAAAGAGTATCTTGGAGTAGCTAGGTGAACCTGATATGATCACAGGGATCCTTATAAGAGGAAGGTAATAGACCAGAAGGCAATGATGAAAACAGAGCTCAGAGTGTTGCTGCCATGAGCCAGGGAATGCTAGTGCCCCTTAGAAGCAAGAAACAGGTTCTCCACTGGAGCTTTCAGAAGGAGTCAGTCTTTTCAACACCTTGGTTTTCATCCTGTAAGACTCACTGTGGACTTACGATCTCCTGAAATGTGAAAGAATAGATTTGTGTTGTTTTAAACCACAAGATAATTTGTTACAGTAGCAATAGGAAACCATTGGGTGGGGAAGGGATAGCGCCATCAAGGTTAAGCAGCGAAAGTTTTTCATTGTTGTTGTTTTTTAAACTGAGAAAGATGTGGGCATGGGACAGATGGGGTTTAGTGAAGGCCAGGAGGTGTGAGAATGTTTAGGAAAAGATTGGGAATATAGGTAATTTGTTGATTATGAAAATGGACTTCCAAAAAAGGCACAAGAGGACTTTTGTAAAAGATAATGGATGGGAGATGGTCAAAATCACAGGAATCAATGAGACTGTTGAAGAGGGGCATGTAAAATTAATGAAAGGAAGATCTGAATGGAAATACATGATCCATATCCATGCAGGGGTTCTTTTATTAACTTTTACGTTTAGGGGTACATGTGCAGGTTTATTACATAGGTAAACTTGTGTCATGGGGGTTTGTTGTACAGATTATTTCACCACCCAAGTATTAAGCCTAGTACCATTAGTTATTTTTCCTAATCCTCTCCCTCTTCCTATCCTCTACCCTCCAATAGATCCCAGTATGTGTTGTTCCCCCACATCTGTCCATGTGTTCTCATCATTCAGCTCCCATTTATAAGTGAGAACATGCAGTATTTGGTTTCCTGTTCCTGCGTTAGTTTGCAATGGATAATGGCCTCTAGATCCATCCATGTCCCTGAAGAGGACATGATCTCATTCTTTTTTATGGCTGCATAGTATTCCATGGTGGATATGTAGCACATTTTCTTTATCCAGTCTATCACTGATGGGCATTGAAATTGATTCCATGTCTTTGCTATTGTGAATAGTCATGAGGGGTTCTTAATATCTTTATGTATCATGTATACACCTTTGCCTGGCTGGTCAGAATTATGAATCCCTTCTCAGAGCTGTTTTTTGTAATGCATAAGTAAATCACGTAGGACTATAAAGAAAGCCAATTATGTCAAAACACAGTTATAGCCATAAACCTTTGGAGTTCTATGGCTCCTAAGACAAGAATCTGGGACGTACAGTTTGGTAGAGACAGGAGTCAATTGTTTCCAGTGCTGGAGTTGGAAAGAGTTGTGTGAGGACGGAGTAACTCTAAATATCAAAGGCTGTAGAAAGGTGAGTAGAATTAGGGTTGAGTAGATAATGTAGCAGATATTTCAGTACACGTGTTAGCTCTTTCTCCTCCATGCATAACTGATTCATCATGGAGTAAAGATGCTTTAGGTAGAAAACTATTCTCTACTCAGTGCGGCTTCACTAATGGAGACCCATGTATACATGGTCCAACACACGTGTATCACTCAGGATGTATAGTCTTAGCTCACACAAACATTCCCGAATACTGCCTTACTTCATCTGACTGTCTTACTCAAGTCTCAGCTCCTCCTCCACTAGGTGAGAAAGGCTATGTTCCAAAGGCTACGTGTGTTTCTTATTTTTCATTGGTTTCCATTAGGCTTTCTCCCAATATTCTATTGGAGGAAATGTCTACTGTGATCATGTCACTTATCATACTTTTTAATACACCCAGTGTCATTCTTTGCCAGGCATGGTGGCTCACGCCTGTAATCCCAGCATTTTTGGAGGCTGAGGCGGGTGGATCACGAGGTCAGGAGTTCGAGACCAGCCTGGCCAACATGGTGAAACCCCATCTCTATTAAAAATACAAAAATTAGCCTGGCATGGTGTCGCACCTGTAATCCCAGCTACTCGGGAGGCTGAGCCAGGAGAATTGCTTGAACCCTGGAGATGGAGGTTGCAGTGAGCCGAGATCATGTCACTGGACTCCAGCCTGGGTGACAGAGCAAGGCTCCAACTAGAAAAAAAAATAATTTAATCTACATATATATTTGCACAAGTATGTAAGGATGCATGTACAAGAATGGTCACTACAGCTCACGCCTGTAATCCCAGCACTTTGGGATACCAAGGCAGATGGATCACAAGGTCAGGAGATCAAGATCATCCTGGCTAACATGGTGAAACTCTGTCTCTACTAAAAATACAAAAAAATTAGCCTGGCATGGTGGCGGGTGCCTGTAGCCCCAGCTACTCGGGAGGCTGAGGCAGGAGAATGGCGGGAACCCGGGAGGCAGAGCTTGCAGTGAGCCGAGATCATGCCACTGCACTCCAGCCTGGGCAACAGAGCAAGACTCCGTCTCAAAAAAAAACCAAAAAAATGCTCACTACGTTTCATATTTTATAATGGAAATCCTAGAAGATAACAAGTAATAAATCATAAAAGTAATGTGCTTGGGGTAAACATATGTATCTTTTTAAAAAACTGTTAAGTGGTATTATACTACATAATTTACATCTTCCTCTTTTCCGCTTAGGACTTCCTGGACATTTTTTCACATTAGCACATTTAGATCTACCTTAACATCATTATCTTGCTATTTATTCTTCCTCTTACTGATGACAAAAAATGACTGACAATCCCATGAGGAATTTTGATTTGTCATTTTTCAAAAAATACCCCTGTAGTTTCTCTTTTTTATAAACTTTTTCTCACAAGCAATTCTCTCCTCTGCTCTCAAACACTAAGCTAGATCAGTGTTTTATAAACACTTTATGAAATGCTTATAGTTAACTCTTTCAAAAGACTGTATCAACAAACTTAGTATTAGTACATATACCCACTAGGAGCATGTGAGTAAGCCTGGATACCTTATTGAGTATTAAATTCATATGCAATCTTGTTTTGCTCATATATCAGTCCACTAAAAAAACCATCTCTTCCTGCCCCTCAAAACCTACAGGACTCAACTAAGGAGGCTACCAGTTAACAGGCTTTTATAGGAATTATAAAATGGTATTCTAATTACTATGTTAACGTGCATAATTCCCCTAGATCCTTTAAAATATTAGGGAGATAGGAAATATATAAACAAATTAGAATCCAGTGATTGAGATTTGAGTTCAACAATCTCATTAAACTAAATGGAAACTGAAGACCACAGAAATGATGTTAATTAAGCATAGTCTACGCAGGCTAATGCTCTTCCTACAATTAGTCTCTTGCTTCTGCTGCAAGGAAAGTGAAACCAGAGATAGCAGTGCTGAAATCAGGACAATAATCCCTTCCATCATATCAAAATAATCTCTCCAGTCATAAGCACAGCTGCTGATCAGGAGTCCCTGCAAAAAGTCCTCTATTTCATCTCAGTAAATAAGGACTTTTCCTGCCTTTCAGTTGCTATAAATTTAGTTGCTATTGCCAGATAAAACTGCCCAGTAAAGAGAAAAAAAGAATAACATTATGAGGTGTGGAAGACTGCAGGCAGGGAAGAGACAGAAATATAGGTCGTGTTCTGCAGACAGCAGAAATTTCCCTGTTTAAATGTGTTACATCAAAAGACTCAAACTGGTTGCACTCCAGAAAATCAAAGAGTCCTGCAGTAGGAACAAACTCAGTAAAGGTGTCAACAGATCACTCTGAAAAGAATAAAATAGGAGGGAGGAGCCAAGATGGCCGAATAGGAACAGCTCCAGTCTACAGCTCCCAGTGTGAGCGACACAGAAGACGGGTGATTTCTGCATTTCCAACTGAGGTACCGGGTTCATCTCACTGGGGAGTGCAGGACAGTGGGTGCAGCGCACTGTGCATGAGCCGAAGCAGGGCGAGGCATCGCCTCACCTGGGAATCACAAGGGGTCAGGGAATTCCCTTTCCTAGTCAAAGAAAGGGGTGACAGATGGCACCTGGAAAATTGGGTCACTCCCACCCTAATACTGTGCTTTTCCAATGGCTTAACAAACGGCACACCAGGAGATTATATCCCGCACATGGCTCAGAGGGTCCTACGCCCACGGAGTCTTGCTCATTGCTAGCACAGCAGTCTGAGATCAAACTGCAAGGCAGCAGTGAGGCTGGGGGAGGGGCGCCCACCATTGCCGAGGCTTGAGTAGGTAAACAAAGCTGCGGGAAGCTCGAACTGGGTGGAGCCCATCACAGCTCAAGGAGGCCTGCCTGCCTCTGTAGGCTCCACCTCTGGGGGCAGGGCACAGACAAACAAAAGGTAGCAGAATCCTCTGCAGACTTAAATGTCCCTGTCTGACAGCTTTGAAGAGAGTAGTGGTTCTCCCAGCACGCAGCTTGAGATCTGAGAACGGGCAGACTACCTCCTCAAGTGGGTCCCTGACCCCCAAATAGCCTAACTGGGAGGCACCCCCCAGTAGGGGCGGACTGACACCTCACACAGCGGGTACTCCTCTGAGACAAAACTTCCAAAGGAAGATCAGGCAGCAGCATTTGCAGTTCACCAGTATCCGCTGTTCTGCAGCCACCGCTGCTGACATCCAGGCAAACAGGGTCTAGAGTGGACCTCCAGCAAACTCCAACAGACCTGCAGCTGAGGGTCCTGACTGTTAGAAGGAAAACTAACAAACAGAAAGGACATCCACACCAAAAACCTATCTGTATGTCACCATCATCAAAGACCAAAGGTAGATAAAACTACAAAGATGGGGAAAAAACAGAGCAGAAAAACTGGAAACACTAAAAATCAGAGCGCTTCTCCTCCTCCAAAGGAACGCAGCTCCTCACCAGCAAAGGAACAAAGCTGGATGGAGAATGACTTTGATGAGTTGAGAGAAGAAGGCTTCAGACGATCAAACTACTCTGAGCTAAAGGAGGAAGTTCGAACCCATGGCAAAGAAATTAAAAACCTTGAAAAAAAATTAGATGAATGTCTAACTAGAATAACCAATGCAGAGAAGTCCTTAAAGGACCTGATGGAGCTGAAAACTATGGCACGAGAACTACGTGACGAATGCACAAGCCTCAGTAGCTGATTCAATCAACTGGAAGAAAGGGTATCAGAGATGGAAGATCAAATGAATCAAATGAAGTGAGAAGAGAAGTTTAGAGAAAAAAGAATAAAAAGAAATGAACAAAGCCTCCAAGAAATATGGGACTATATGGAAAGACCAAATCTACGTCTGATTGGTGTACCTGAAAGTGATGGGGAGAATGGAACCAAGTTGGAAAACACTCTGCAGGATATTATCCAGGAGAACTTCCCCAGTCTAGCAAGGCAGGCCAACATTCAAATTCAGGAAATACAGAGAACACCACAAAGATACTCCTCAAGAAGAGCAACTCCAAGACACATAATTGTCAGATTCACCAAAGTTGAAATGAAGGAAAAAAATGTTAAGGGCAGCCAGAGAGAAAGGTCGGGTTACCCACAAAGGGACGCCCATCAGACTAACAGCGGATCTCTCAGCAGAAACTCTACAAGCCAGAAGAGAGTGAGGGCCAATATTCAACATTCTTAAAGAAAAGAATTTTCAACCCAGAATTTCATATCCAGCCAAACTAAGCTTCATAAGTGAAGGAGAAATAAAATACTTTACAGACAAGCAAATGCTGAGAGATTTTGTCACCACCAGGCCTGCCCTAAAACAGCTTCTGAAGGAAGCACTAAACATGGAAAGGAACAATCGGTACCAGCCACTGCAAAAACATGCCAAATTGTAAAGACCATCAAGGCTAGGAAGAAACTGCATCAACTAACGAGCAAAATAACCAGCTAACATCATAATGACAGGATCAAATTCACACATAACAATATTAACCTTAAATGTAAATGGGCTAAATGCTCCAATTAAAAGACACAGACTGGCAAATAGGATAAAGAGTCAAGACCCATCAGTGTGCTGTTTTCAGGAAACCCATCTCATGTGCAGAGACACACATAGGCTCAAAATAAAGGGATGGAGGAAGATCTACCAAGCAAATGGAAAACAAAAAAAAGGCAGGGGTTGCAATCCTAGTCTCTGATAAAACAGACTTTAAACCAACAAAGAACAAAAGAGACAAAGAAGACCATTACATAATGATAAAGGGATCAATTCAACAAGAAGAGCTAACTATCCTAAATATATATGCACCCAATACAGGAGCACCCAGATTCATAAAGCAAGTCCTTAGTGACCTACAAAGAGACTTAGACTCCCACACAATAATAATGGGAGAGTTTAACACCCCACTGTCAACATTAGACGATCAATGAGACAGAAAGTTAACAAGGATATCCAGGAATTGAACTCAGCTCTGCACCAAGCAGACCTAATAGACATCTACAGAACTCTCCACCCCAAATCAACAGAATATACATTCTTTTCAGCACCACACCACACTTATTCCAAAATTGACCACATAGTTGGAAGTAAAGCGCTCCACAGCAAATGTAAAAGAAAAGAAATTATAACAAACTGTCTCTCAGACCACAGTGCAATCAAACTAGAACTCAGGATTAAGAAACTCACTCGAAACAGCTCAACTACATGGAAACTGAACAACCCGCTCCTGAATGACTACTGGGTACATAACGAAATGAAAGCAGAAATAAAGATGTTCTTTGAAACCAACAAGAACAAAAACACAACATACCAGAATCTCTGGGACACATTTAAAGCAGTGTGTAAAGGGAAATTTATAGCACTAAATGCCCACAAAAGAAAGCAGGAAAGATCTAAAATTGACACCCTAACATCACAATTAAAAGAACTAGAGAAGCAAGAGCAAACACATTCAAAAGCTAGCAGAAGGCAAGAAATAACTAAGATCAGAGCAGAACTGAAGGAAATAGAGACATAAAAAACCCTTCAAAAAATCAATGGATCCAGGAGCTGGTTTTTTGAAAAGATCAACAAAATTGATAGACTGCTAGCAAGACTAATAAAGAAGAAAAGAGAGAAGAATCAAATAGACACAATAAAAAATGATAAAGGGGATATCACCACCTGCTATTCCTTTCTGTTTCTTTGTTTTCCTTCTAACAGACAGGTCCCTCAGCTGCAGGTGTGTTGGAGTTTGCTGGAGGTCCACTCCAGACCTTGTTTGCGTGGGTATCACCAGCGGAGGCTGCAGAACAGTCAATATTGCTGCCTGATCCTTCCTCTGGAAGCTTCATCCTAGAGGGGCACCCACCTGTGTGAGGTGTCTGTCAGCCCCTATTGGGAGGTGTCTCCCAGTTAGGCTATACGGGGGTCAGGGACCCACTTGGGGAGGCAGTCTGTCCGTTATAGGAGCTCGAATGCTGTGCTGGGAGAACCACTGCTCTCTTCAGAGCTGTCAGGCTGGGACGTTTAAGTGTGCAGAAGCTGTCTGCTGCCTTTTGTTCAGATATGCCATGCACCCAGAGGTGGAATCTAGAGAGGCAGTAGGCCTTGCTGAGCTGCAGTGGGCTCCACCCAGTTCAGGCTTCCCTGGCGCTTTGTTTACACTGTGAGCATAGAACCGCCCAGTCAAGCCTTAGCAATGTCGGACGCTCCTCCCCCAGCCAAGTTCCAGCATCCCAGGTGGATCTCACACTGCTGCACTAGCAGCGAGCAAGGCTCCGTGGGCGTGGGACCTCCCCAGCCAGGCACAGGAGGGAGTCTCCTGGTCTGCTGGTTGTGAAGACTGTGGGAAAAGCACAGTATTTGGGCAGGAGTGTACTGTTCTTCCAGGCAGTCACTCACAGCTTTCCCTGGCTAGGAAAGGGAAGTCCCCTGACCCTTTGTACTTCCTTGGTGAGGTGACATCCCGCTCTGCTTCAGCTTGCCCTCCATGGGCTGCATCCACTGTCCAACCAGTCCCAGTGAGATGAACCAGGTACTTCAGTTGGAAATGCAGAAATCACCTGTCTTCTACGTTGATCTCACTGGGAGCTGTAGACCAGAGCTGTTCCTATTCAGCTATCTTGAAGCAACCTAAAATATATATCTTAAGACAATTTATTGCTCAAAACATACAAAACTTAATTCTAAAAAATTCAACTACCTAAATTTAAACAAGATTGCTGCAGCTATGGCTCACTGTCCTCCAGTAGACATGAAAAGGGATGAGGGATGCAGGGCCATGGGGATGTCAAGCCTGCCCCAAGGTCAGAAAGCCTTTGAGGAGAGCCCTAGCTCCTGCTGAGACCAGCCTCCGGCTTGCCCTCTGCAGAGGGGAAGGAAGGGAATGGGCCTGGGGCTGCAGACCATGCAGGAATCAGCAGAGGAGCCGGCAAGGCTGGGCAGTGGGCTACAGGCTGGCCAGAGTTCCCTTGGCGGGATCCCATCCTCCATGTCTGGCCAGCACTGTGGCACGTGTGGCTCAGGTCTCCATCAGGATCTCCACCATGTGCTCTTGCTTGCCCAGGTCAGACTGCAATTGTAGCTGGAGCTGGGAGGTGGGGCGGCGGCAGGGCCAAGCCTCCAAGTGCGTTGCAGGGGCCCAGCTTGGTGCATCCCATCATGCGGGTCAGCACTGTGTGTCCAGGTTGTCGTAAGAACTGACCACATCTGAGGCCAGCTCTTCCATGCAGTTGGGATTTTTAGTTTTCAGTATTTCAAATATCTCATCTAGCCACTTCTGAAAGCTTCCTTTATTTTCCCCCTGGCTGTCCATCTCCCAGATGCTGCTTTGCAGGGCTCCTGGTGCCAGTGCTGAGGTGAGACAGCAAAGGTCTGATACCTGGCCCCTTCGTGCAGCAGTCTCCGAAGTGGGGGGCATGGTGCTCCCCCTCTGGCTCCTGTGTGGCGGGCACAGGGCACTGGCACAGGATCTCTGCAGAAACCAGGCAGTGGAGCCACACGCACCCCACACTCTTGGGTGCTGCTGTTCACCACATCCCATCCTGGGCCATCTCCTCTTGGATCTGCCAGGCGTGTTGGTGATGAGGACCCTGCGGCAGTGGTTGGGCTCCACCAGCAAGTGGTAAAGCTGGAGCTTCTAAAAGGACAAGTCCAGGAGTGACTGCCCCTGCCAGCTGCAGGAGTGCAGGGTCTTCAAGCTGGCTGGGGTGCCGTGCTTGACCACCACTTCTTTCATTCTCAGTATTGGTTAATTTGTGTCTTTTTTTTCTTTGTCAGTCTGGCTGTAGGTTTACACATTTTATTGATCTCCAAGTAGCAACTGTTGGTTTCATTGATCTTCTCTATTTTTTTTTCTCTTCTCAGTTTCATTGATTTTGGCTCTATCTTTATCATTTCCTTACATCTGCTAGTTTGGGATTTAATTTGCTCTTCTTTTTTAGTTTCTTAAGGTGGAAAATTAAATCATTGATTTGAGGCTTTTCTTTTTTTTCTAACGTAAGTATGTTATGCTATACATTCCCCTGTAAGCAATGCTTTAGCTGTATCCTACATGTTTGGATATTTTGATGTGTTATGATTCAATTCAAAACACTTTCTAATTTCCCGGCTGACTACTATTTTTATGCATGGATTATTTAGGAGTGTCTTGTATACTTTTCATTTCTTTGGGGATTGGCCTTGTTGTTGATTCCTACTTTCATTCTGTTGTGATCAGATAATGTATTTTGAATGATTTCAATTTTTTGAGATTTGTGGAAAATTGTCTTATTGTCTAGAATATGGTCTACTTTGGAGAATGTTTCATGCATACTTGGGAAGTATATACTTTTAAATCACTGTTATTCTGTGATTTCTTTGTTTAAACGGGCAAGTCCCCTGTGGAGTCTTCATACTTTTGGTCACTCTGGTCTTTAAGAAAATTATTTTTTATCCAGAGTTTATCATTTTTATTGGTGAGAGCATTAGTCTGTTACAGTCTACCACTACCAAAGCCAGAACTCTTAGATTTCTTGTAATACAAGAACCACCTTTCTTATTTTTAAGCCAGTGTTTGTTGATTTATTATTTTTTTTGGTCTTTCAAACAAAAACTTCTAACTCATGCAGATTACACAGTAGTTCACACTGTATGAAATGAAATCCCAAGAACATGTGGGGGTGAAAAATAGAGAACTCTAGCTAGAACTATTTTTTGGCTTGAATTGACCTGTATTAAAATAAATTAGATCCAATTACACAGGAGGAGGAAGCACATACACCTGCTTTATTTGTAGATAAAACTATTTACAAAATATTTCCAGAGTACTTACAGATGAAGAAGGAAATAAATTGAAAGGTGACTTTTACACTCTGGAGCAGCATGATTCCATACTGAATTGTCACCACAATAAATCGTGCTCTCTCCAATAAGTGAAAATGGATCTGGTCCAGGTGCAGGATCACAACTATCAGTTACTGCATTAAGATACTCAAATACTTCTACTTCACTAAAGGTGTGTTTTCCATTTTTTATTTTTGGAGGTCATGTGCACAAAATCTCTTAAAATTGAAGAAAAAGAGGAAAGAAATGTAAAAGATTAAGGCAGCATTAGTAAAATTTCTGTGTCTTCAGTGAATTTGTCAATATAGGGTTTCTACAAGCTGGTTGTGAATTCAATATGGATTTAAAAGAAGGTTTCTATGAGCAAATATATCATCCCAAATTCAAACCATTAATGTAGTAACTAACTTTCAGAACAAATCTCATTTTCTTAAAGTGTAAATACCTATTGATATGGTTTGGATCTGTGTCCCCACCAAATCTCATGTCAAATTGTAGTCCACAATGTTGGAGGTGGGGCCTGGTGGGAGGGGTCTGAATCATGGGGGTGGATTTCTCATGAATGGTTTAGCACCGTCCCCTTGGTGCTGTTCTCGTGATACTGAGTGCTTGGGAGATCTGGTTATTTAAAAGTGCGCAACACCTCCCGTCCTCCCCACCTTGCTCCTGCTCCTGCCATGTGAGACACCTTGCTCCCCCTTTGCCTTTCCCAATGGTTGTTGTTTCCTGAGGCCTCCCCAAACCCCCAGCAGATGCCAGCATCATGCTTCCTGTACAGCTTGTAGAATCACGAGCCAATTAAACCTCTTTTCTTTATAAATTACCCAGTCTCAGGCATTTCTTTATAGCAATACGAAAACGGCCTAATACGCCTATATTTATTTGCAAGGCCATGCTAAGTTTTCTTCTAGTTATCACAAGAAATGCTGACAATTTAATGAGAAAATATGCTTAACTGAGCGCTAGCTGAGAAATCCTTTGCAATTTTTAAATATATCCATTTTCTAAATTGGTGATTCACAATACCACCAAAATATTGTCTTTTTTCACTCTCATCCTTATAAGTGTATAGTGATTGATTGATTGATTGATTGATTGATTTTGAGACGGAATCTCGCTCTGTCGCCCAGGCTGGAGTGCAGTGGCGCGATCTCGGCTCGCTGCAAGCTCCGCCTCCCGGGTTCACGCCATTCTCCTGCCTCAGCCTCCAGAGTAGCTGGGACTACAGGCTGCTACCACCACGCCTGGCTAATTTTTTGTATTTTTAGTAGAGACGGGGTTTCAGGGTATTAGACAGGATGGTCTGGATCTCCTGACCTCGCGATCCACCCGCGTCGGCCTCCCAAAGAGCTGGGATTACAGGCCTGAGCCACTGCGCCGGGCAGAAGTGTATAGTGATATTTTCCAAAGTCTACATATTGTGTGATTACACAACAGCCCAAATCCAAGTCTTCCTTTAAGTTAGGTGTTGAAGAGATGTGCAAAAAATGTGAACAATGCCACTATTCTCACTAATTTTATTTTGTTTTGGAAAATTGTTATTTTTCATTAAAAAATGTTATATATGTTAATTTGTATTGCATCTATTCTTACAAATTAATCAGGCCAGGTGGGGTGGCTCACATTTGTAATCCCAGCACTTTGGGAGGCCCACGGGGGCAGATTGCTTGAGCACGGGAGTTCAAGACCAGCCTGGGCATCATGGCAAAACCACGTCTCTACAAAAGTTACAAAAAGCCAGGTATGGTGGCACATGCCTGTAGTCTCAGCTGCTCAGGAGGCTGAGGTTGCAGTGACCTGAGATTGTGCCACTGTGCTCCAGCCTGGGAAACATACTGGTACCCTCTCTTAGGAAAAACAAAAACAAAAACAAAAAGAATCAATACTTATTTAAAAAATCTCTCAGTTTGAATTCCAATATGATAAATACCAACAGATATAACCCACATAAAAGAAACCTCTTTGGGATCTTTGTTAATCTTAAAATGTAAAAGGTGCCCTGAGGCAAAAAATCTTTGAGGACTACTGGTCTGAATTAAAAAAAAAAAAAAAAGAATTTACTTACTTTCACATATTGGGGGCTTACTGCTCCAAACTGCTACTGATCCTTTAAGTTCACAATATAGAATTTCTTTACCAATTAAGTAATAACTAAATGGGAAAAGAAAGGGTTACTGTTTTGTATAGCAATTAATAAGACACATAATAATGAAGGAACTTTTTATATGGTTTATTTTCTACGCTGCAGTAATTTGAGGGGGGTGGTTTCTTAAACAACATACTATATAATGAAAGTGCTAAATAAATCTGCAATTTAATCAAATAAAGAGTTTCTCTATTTGAACGTATATTGGCCGAGAGCAAAAACATCTAAATAAATCTGCTGTGCCGTTCCACCCAGCCTCTTTGCTGCCTCCTGCAATCACATTACACATTCATTTCTGTGCGTTTTCTCACACGACTTTGCTCAGTAAGGACAAGACTGTAGAGAGAACAGGCCCTAGAGCTGGAATGCCTGGATTAGAGTCTCTGCTTCCCAACTTACTAGTTTCTTGAGCTTGGGTAAATCACTTAAAGTTCCTCTCACTCAGTTACCTAATTGATTAAAAGGGGATAACAGTACATAGCTCGTGGGGTTGTTTAGGAGATTAGATAAGTTAGCATTTGGCACATAGTGAGTGCTACACGAGTTTTAGCTCCTATTAATATTATTTAGAACAGAATGTCTTTCTAGGAGTAGCTCATTGAGTATAGGAATACTTTCATTGAGTATACACCTATACTCAGTGAAATCTTCCCTGATTTAAATTCACAGGAATCTCTCCTCCTTCTGGACTCTTAGTGTAATAACATGATTAATTCTATTATTTGGTATTTCTCATTTAGTATTTTGGTTTGATACCTCTCAGTATATATTGTTTCTCAATAAGGTTAGAACTTCTTTTAGGAGGGTCCATGTCTTAAACTTTTGGTATCCCTCATAGTGCCTAGCAAGCTCTATGTAACTATTAATTGAATACTCCAATATTTCTACTTGACCAAATTTTAAAAACTCTTAGTGAAACTGCCTTACATGGTCACAGTGCACTTTTCCTCCAAGACTCACTTTGTTTATATATTATAGTGTATTATTGCTATTGTTTGAATCTGGTTTGTCTCTACCAAAACTCTTATTGAAATTTAATTGCCAGTGTAACAGCAGTGAGAGGTGATGGGGCCTTTCAGAAATGATTAGGGCATTAAGAGGGATAATGCCTTTCTAGAGGGTCTTCATTAATTCTTGAGGGAGTGGATCTTCATTCTTGTAGGCTTGGATTCGTTACCACAAGAGCAGGTTGTTATAAAGCGAGAGCCCCTCCCTTGTGCTTTGTCTTTTTTGCAAGTGCTGAATTTCCCTTTCACTTTCCAGCATGTTCTGATGCAGCATGAAAGCCCTTGCCAGGTACTACTGCCATGCCCTTGAATTCCCCAGCCTCCAGAAATATGAGCCAAATAAATTCTTTTCTTTATGAATTATCTAGTCTCACGTATTGTGTTATAGCAATAGAAAATCTATGAAAATTACATTTACTCTCTAAAAGCACATTTCACTTAAATGTCCAGTATCCCCAATATCTATGACTTTAAAAGTCCTGCAGAACAAAGGCTATTACCGAGTGCTCAGTGCCTGTTCTTGAGATGCTTCACATTGTAGCAGTCTCAGAAATAAGGTTTTTCAACTGAGAGCTTTTGTTCAACATGATGGTAAAGGCTAACCAGGTCACACTTTACAGAGTCATCTGGATACAAGCATATTTTTAGTTGGCAATTCTATTTCTCATTTCTGTGAGCCCTACTTTAACTCTAAGAGTTTGCAGATTTAAATAGGGGACACTCAGTTGTGAAGGATGAATTCTCATGATTACTACACTCTTAATGCTTTCAACAGACTTATTGTCAGAAATAGCAAGTAGTTATGCTTTCCTTCAATATCAATTTCTATTTACTCTACGTCTTTGCTGTCTCCATAAAACATCCAAGAGTTGTTTGGCTAGAAGTATAACTTGTCACATAGAAAGCAAAATTAAATAAAGTTTATATGAAAGCTTAAGAAGAGAAGCAAAACGAAAATAAAATTACTAACATTTTCCTTATTTCCTCTAAGGAGGAACTTACTTACCCCTCATTACAAATAAAGTGTATCTGATAACCTAGCTCATAAGTCCCATTTGCAAGGACTGCTTGGCCATGTAAAGGATCACCTATACATGGACATGTTTTTCCTAAAAGAAAATAATTTTGAGATTTTTTCAATCCAGTTTCTAAACAGATTGGAATCAAGGTCAAAATTCTGCATTGCGGTTTTGAATGCATGGGCATATTATTTTCTTTCTTTACCTATTATAAGGGCAAATTTCAGTTTCATGTTCACCCAGGCAATCTATTGCCAAGAAAAAGATTTCTTGGAGATTTCAATTTCTCAAAGTCTGCAAAAATGCATTGCTATCTTAAACCTCATTTCACAAGAAAAAAAAATCATCATCTCCATAGTGGAATATGTACCCTAAAATGTGTGCAAATCTCTAGAGCAAGCAGAAAACAAAAAAAAAAGGCTAGTTTATTTACTATAACAGGGCTCATCTGAGACAGGTAGCCATGTGTGATTCCGATCACAAATAGTATGGGTGGCAAGAGGAGGTACGTAGAAGTGTCCTTTTTTACACTTATAATCTACTTGTTCCCCAATCTCATAGTAGGGTTTTGGTTTACCAATGAGCTCCATAGCTTCAAATGTTGGTGGCTCCTCATAGGCATCTAGGGATAAGAGAATAGGAACATGAAGATGAAGTACTGATATCACTTTCATCAGCCATGGACTGTGGTCTGGCAGCAGGTAGTACAGAAAAAATAGGAAGGCCCTTGGCAAGATTTTAAATGACTGTTCCATGCTTTTACCTGAGTGCTGGTAGTAGTGGAGGAAATGGGATTTGCATGTTTTAAGTAACATCCTATTAGCTTTTGGTTTGTTTGGGAATAAACATTCGACAATAAACTGAAGAGACAGCATTAATGTCTTTGGTCTTAAAATATATATGGATGCATCTTTCTCCACATTTTTCTAAATTCATTTCAAAAGTAACTTCTCCTCTAAGAAGTCATCTACAGTATAGAGCACTCTGCTCAGATTGTTCTTCCATAGTTTAAAACACTAACTTATAACAGCTTGTCACTTCAGGCTGTCTTCTCTTAAAAGGCAAGTTCCTGGGGGTCAAGGACCATGTTCTTCTTTTTCTACTACACTCTACCCACCTTGTGGGTGCTCAAGAAATGTTATGGTAAGAGGTGATTATTAAGTAAATGTAGTGGATTTCATAGATTAAAATAAATATGAACTCAAATATTCTAAAATATAAGACTTTATTTCATAGGTTTCAGATAAGTGAACTGAGCATCTGACAAGTGAATATACACTACTTAAATATAAAACATTTACTACTTTGGATAGACTTACATGAATTGTTTTTCCTTTCTTGAACATCAAACACAATTTGATCTTGCCTCACTGATCATTGCATCATGCATTCTCTCAGAAGCTCCCTGAGGTAGCTGTTGGATTGTTTATCCAGCATGTCCTATAATAAAGCTACTATATTGCTGTGGTTTTAGAATTTTTTATTTCTGTTTTTTGTAGTTTTTTTTTTCTCCCTATCATTTCTACTGCGGCAACTCATCTTCCTCAAATTATCTGTGGGCTTGCAAAATAAGATGATGGAGACATCAAGTAAAAGCCTAAAGGGCCAACAGAATGCAAAGGCCTCTTCTATAGTGGAAGGACCAAAGTAGATAGATCTATTTTGATCTCCAAGGAGCATTTCTTTTCTTACTCCCTGGTCATGGTCCTGCCTCAGGTTGAGAGACTGGTCAAGAAAATTCTAACCAAGTGAAATCTCACCTTCATTTCATGTCATATTCTAAATTCTAAAATTCTCCATATATATACTGTCCAATATTTTCTTTATATATCATGTCCTGCAATGCACTTATTGGCAATACGTTTTCAGAGGACTTTCTTCCTATGGAAAATTTCAAACTAAACATGCCTACCCCCAGAAAAACAGTATCTTGACTTATTTTTTCTAGATATTTTATATTATAATTAATATTAAGCTACAATACTATACCTCAACAGTAGGTGCCATTATATCATAAGATAGGTGCAGTCAGAAATTTCCCCAAAGTTCCAGGTGAGTTTTAGTAAAGTGAATTATCTACACTGGGCCGGGTGCAGTGGCTCACGTCTGTAATCCCAGCAGTTTGGGAGGCCGAGGCGGGCGGATCACGAGGTCAGGAGATAGAGACCATCCTGGCTAACATGGTGAAACCCCATTTCTACTAAAAATACAAAAAATTAGCCAGGTGTAGTGGCACACGCCTGTAGTCCCAGCTACTCGGGAGGCTGAGGCAGAAGAATTGCTTGAACCCAGGTGGCAGAGGTTGCAGTGAGCTGAGATTGCACCACTGCACTCCAGCCTGGGCAGCAGAGCGAGACTCTGTCTCAAAAAAAAAAAAAAATCTACACTGCATCCACTGAACTGTTCAACTTCTGTACATTCACACCTGCTTGCAAAAAATTAACTAATGTACACGCATACCCACAGCCCTGCCCAGATTAGTATTACCAGAAATTCATGGTATTTGACTACAAGTGAAATGGCAATGAAACCTGACCATCTTGCTCCTTCTCCCACTATCCAATCTATTTAAAACCTTTTTTGCTTCCACAAAACATAAACTCTGACATCTACATATTTCAATTTTATTTCTCACTTCCCACTCATTTTTAGGTCTATGAAAATTACTTCAACTACTTTCTGAGTCATTAAAGGGCCTCCTCCTTGTTAAACTCCTCCTAACAGTCTCTTCCTTAATAGTTTGAATTACCCTCTTGATAACGTGAGAGCTACTGATCACTCTGCCCTCACTCTCTTCTGCCTGAAGAGTTCTCACTCCTTGGCTTTTAGGAGAGCAAACCACTCTGGTTTTCAGCTTGTCCTCTGGCTCATACCAAGGTAATATCCCTGATGAGTCTGTAGGAGGACTTCCTGTGATTCCATTCTGCAGGTCCCCCTGGGAGAATATATACACTTCTGTGACTTCATTACCACTGATAACCAGCTGCCTCCTAGCTGGGTATCTCTCCATCCCAGATCTCTAGCTGGGGTGCCAAAACTACATATTCAATTGCCTCCCCACACAGCTCTACTTGGAATGTGTCACTCTAGCTCAAACAACAAAGGGAGGCCCAAGAGCCACTTTTGACTCTACACACACATACACATACACACACACGCCCCCCAAACAAGTTATGTTTCCACAACTGAAATGCCCGTTTATTCTATGTAGTTGTATCCTTTACTTTTCATTCAAGCCACTATCATTTCTTATCTGGATTACCACGACATAACTAAATAGGTCTCCATACCTATCTTGCCACCTTTCATTCAATTCATTTTTCACATTACCAGAGCAGTATTTATATGACAGAGTAATCAAGGTTTTTCCAAGACAGATACCTTTCGATGGCTCTCCAATGACCTCAGGATAATGTCTAAGGCTTCCTAACATAGCTTAGAGACTTTTAAATCCCATCACAATCAGAACCCAAGAATACATTCCAGTTAGGTTGGCAGACCCAGGAGGCAGGCCAGTCAACTAGGTTCCCAGGCCACACTGCTGAACCACTACCAAACTGCTTCCCATTACTGCCATTCATCTGGAGCTCCCACATGCTGAGACCGACAAACTCTATCTGCAATTAGGTCCTCAAGAAATTGCCTACTACTGTGTCTCGGGAAATTAAAACAACCCTAGTTTGGAGTCACGTTGTGCTAAGTCAAACAAAAGGGCTCAAGCTGCCCTAAAAGGACAGGGAATAATACCAAAGTCTGAGTTTACGATGGTGATTGTTTATTCCTGACAAGCCTGTTGCTTTTTAGAACTGCTCACCCTGTGATTTATTCCTCTCCCTTCTTTGTTGTCTCCTTTACCCTACTCTGCCACACTGAATAGCTTGGCAGTCCAGCAGTGTCACATCTTGGTGCCTTTGCTCACCTTGCTTCCTCTGCTCTGAATACCCTTCCTCCCTGGCCGGTAGCTACAACTCCTGCTCAGCTCTTGTCTTCTTTAATCCACCCATCATCTCCTCCAAGAAGCATTTTCTGCCTCCCCCTGGGAAGCAGTGATCAGTCACCTTCCCCTGGACTCTCCCCTGCATGGATCTCTCAGGTAATTATCACGTGTTTTTGAGTTTAATAGTTAACAAGGCCGACTCCATTCATCCATGTGGCCACAACACCCAGCACAATATGTCCCTCATAGTAGCTATTTGAAAAAAATTTGGTACTCAAAGTCCACTGCTGTCAAACACAAAACAATGTGAAGAATATATTGTAATCAATTTCATATTGAAAATAATCATTCTACAGAACAATGGAGAAAGAAGATTTAGCCATTTCTTGTGCTGCCTATCTCCCAGTCTTCTGGTATCCTGGCAGGTGACCAGATATGGACTGCTCTTTTTGCATTGTAGTATGCCGAGTGAGGAAACTAAGAAGCAATAAGAACTTACTGGTCTTGGCTTCTTTCATTGAAAATAAGGAAAACACCTGAAATAGGCAGAAGAGACCACACACAACAGGAGATCGGGGGTTTTGTCCAAAAAAGCAGCTCCTCTTCTGGAGGAATGAATGAGACTGGCCTGAAATTTGACACATGTTTCCTTCTGCTATCTGGAACCATTTGGCAACTACCTTTGAGAGGGCAGGTCTCCCATGCACAGCACCACCTGCTTACAAAACCTTATCTTTGTGAGAGTGAGTTGCTCCAAAAATTGAATGTTTATTTTAATTCATGTATTCTCTCTGCCTAGCATCGTGAGTTCTCATTTTTACTTTCTCTAGGTTTCATACCTGTCTTGATTTAACCCTATCAACCTCAAACTTAACCTTATTTTTCCTTCTCTTCATTTTTAGTTTTGTTATCTTCCATGTTGCACCCTATTCATTTTATAATTCTATGTTCCTCTATTTCAAATTGCTTTCATTATCTTCTTCAACTTCCAGGTTTTTTTTTTTTTTCTGTGTGTGTGTGTGTGTCTGTGTGTGTGTGTGTGTGTGTGTGTGTGTGTTTGAGACCGGGTCTCACTCTGTCACCCAAGCTGGAGTGCAGTGGTATGATTAGGGCTCACTGCAGCCTTGACCATGGGGGCTCCAGTGATCCTCCCCCTTCACGCCCTTCAGCCTCCCAAGTAGCTGGGACCACAGGCATGCAACATCACACCTGGCTAATTTTTTGTTTTTAATATTCTGTAGAGGTGGGCTCTCCTTATGATGCCCAGGCTGTATGTACTTCTAGTACTAAGCCTATTCTAAACATTAATCTTTAAAAAGAAAAAAAAGTCCTTTCGTTTTCTTCTTAACACCACTGCTCCCTAATCCCATCACCCTCCTTCAAAATGAACGTTTTAATGATCAGTGAGATGCAAGACTGAAGTACTGGAAGCCCTGCAGAGTCAACATAAACAGGGGAGACAGATCCTTTCTGGCCCTCAGCTGCTGCTGCCCTAGCTTTTTAGGTACAACAGAAAGACCATCCTGAGCATAGCTCTTTAAAGAACCTTCCTCTTGGAGGCAGGAGGGACTTTTTCCTAGGCTCTAAGCCCCAGCCAAATAGTATATTTAATTTTCTGATATTTAACAGATGTCTATATGGATACTGAGTTAGGGTTCATACAGAAGCAAACAAATGGGGCTTTTGGAACCACAAATGGGGGAAGACAGAAGATTCCTGCATTCTGATGGGGAGAGACAGAGAACAGAAAAGATCACTTTAAAAGGGTGATTACAAGAGGTACTTGAACTGGGTTGTATGTGTTCAACCTGAGTTGGGGGGTTCCAAGAAGGTCTCTGAAGCGGTAACATTCCAGCTGAGCTTGCAGAAGAAACAGCCCATTTATGCAGCAGGTCATGGGGAGAACGTTCCAGGACTGAGGGAACAGAAAGCACAGATGCCCCAAAGTGGCAGAGTTTTGTCTGTTTGATGAGAAGCAAAGCCTTCCCTCCCCCCAGTCATTTGTTAAATGCTGTCAGAAAATTATACTCCTTTCCTCCAGAACACTTCCCTGGTTAATATATTTGTTACTATTATGTTTTGGTTAATGTCTGCCACTCCCAATACATTTTAGCAAACATCTGTTGATTGCCTACTGTGTTCCCGGCATTAAGCACTTAACAATGAGCAAAAAAAGTCCCTGCTTATCTTCCTGCATGTACGTGTGTGTAAACAAATAGTAAAAAAAGGATAAAGAAAATAGGAATTGTCTGTTATTACCTACTAGTGTAACAGCACCAGACATACAAGACCCATATTTGTTGAATGAATGTTCCTAAGAGAAGAAATGCAACGTACAATCTGTACATGGAATAAGATCCTAAATATAATTTGGACATAGATACACATGAAACACAATAAAGTCAGAAGGAAATATAACAAAATATTAAAAACAGTTGTCCTTTTATTTTGTTCATTTTGCACAATAAGCCTGTATTTAAGCATGTATTTTTTGGCTTTTTTTTTTTTTTTTTTTTTTTTTGAGACAGGGTCTCACACTGTCATCCAGGCTGGAGTGCAGTGGCATGATCACAGCTCACTGCAGTCTTCTCCTCCTGGGCTCAAGCGATCCTCCCACCTCAGCCTCTGGAGTAGTTGGGACCACGGGCATACACCACCATGCCCATCTAATTTTTTTATTTTTTGTAGACATGGGGTTTTGACATGTTGTCCAGGCTGATCTTGAACTCCTGGGCTTAAGCAATCACCCAACTTGGGCCTCCCAAAGTGCTGGGATCACAGGTGTGAGCAACTGGGCCTGGCCTAGCATGCATTTTTAAAAATATTGATTCCATTCAATGAAATACAAAACAGTGGGATAGGCCTTAAGCTTCAGTTTATGAGCTGTAGGGGAAAACAAGATTAACATTATCTGCCTTCCTTTGTTAGGATACTAATTTCTCACTAGGTTTGGCTACCAGTGTTTTTTAGGTTGCTTCACATCTCTCAAATATGACTCAAACTAATGAAAAGAAGGAAAACAATGTCAAAAAGCCACTAGGCAATGGAATCAGATACTGTCTATATTGGTTGGGAACAGGAAGATGACTCGATGGCCCACCCACCCCCCAAAAAAGCAGCCACTTAAAATTCAAGACCAATACGATCTCAGGCAACACGGACACTGTTCACAGAAGGCACTAAAAGCATGGTGCGCCCTTACCACCTCTCTAACCCCAGGCACTGAGAGCCTGCTCTCACTCAACATGCCCTCCCTAGCCGCAGAGTCCGCGCTCGCTCCACTCAAAGCAAACAGTGAGCTGTCTTGCCCACAGTGAACTCCGCACACAGGCCACTTGCGCACAGCACGCTCCCAGCAACACCTGGCCAGGCCCCTGCTCGCCCAGCCCAGCCCAGGCCAGCCCAGCCCATGGGGCACAGCAGACGCACTGCAACCCTTACCGCGGGTACTGTCCAAGCCCTAATGAACACCCTACTCACCAAGGCACCAAGGGAACACAGGGCAAACTCTCACCACGGGCACAGCACGGGCTCTAGCAACAATCCCACGCACCTGTGCACTCCAGAGCAAGCCCTCACCTGGGGCGCCCAGTAAGCCCTCCCCTTGCTGACTGGGCTCAATCCCGAAAACACGATTCACGCTTCTTTTGGGAACGCAGCCAGATCCTGCGTAAATGTCGGCCGCGCACACGATGCCACCAAACAAGCTTCTGCGTGGTTCCCGCATCCCCCGCCACATACCCCCGGGATCTGAGCACGGCACCCCTCGGAGAACCCTGGCCTCGCTCTCTATCCCAAGCAGGCACGACGTGCAGTGAGCTTCGCCCCGCGCCTCCTGCCCGACTGACTGAGCAGAGCTCTAGCCTCGCCGCGGACGCGCGAATCCACCCCGGGGTCCTACCGGAGAAGGAGGACAGCAGCAACACCAGGGCCGCCAGAAGCAACCCAGGAAAGCGCCGGGAAGGAAAGGGACGCTCGAGACGGACGGGAGGCGCCATGAGCGGCGCGGGAGACCCCGTGATTTATCCGGAGGTGAGCAGAGAAACCGAAAGCCAGCCGAGCAGGGAAGTCCCTTCTGAGTCCGGTTAGTGGACACAACAATCCCCAAACTCACAGTTTCCAGGGCCGCATGACAGGTGGGCGTGGCCTGGGCGCGTAGTGTGAAATTGAGTCTTAGCGCCGGGGCGGCTGGGGCCAATCGGCGGGCCGCGGGGCGGGGCCTCGGCGCGCAGGGGCAGCCCGTTGGCCTTCGAGGAGACAGGGCGTGTCCAGAGCCCTGGCAGGGGGTTATCGTGGGCTAGCACCCCTCAGGGTTAGTTTTATCCTGGGGCACTGCAGGCTGTCAGGACTGCCTGGGCCCTTACTTGGTATTTGGCATTAGTCAGGCATTATTGGGAACAATATTTGAGTTTTTCTTGCTTGAATGCCTGCTACTGAATCGTCTCGGCGCCGTCTTCTTTTCACAGTCTCAAAGGTTTGGCTTCTGCACTCCCAGCCCCTAAGATAATTTGCCCTTTGCTCCCCTCCCTGGAGAGGACCCGTCAGAATCTAAATTATTAAGCAACACCAGGCCGTTAGCATATTGAGACTCTATGGGACCCTTGCCCTTGAGCAACTAAATGTTTTATTGAAGACGAAATATACATGCATGAACAATGTAAGGACAAGGGTGTCCTAAGTGCCAAATTCCTGGAAGCAATAAATGCAGGAGGATTGGGATGGGTAGAAATTGTTAGGCGAAGTGGATAAGGGGGAGAACTTTTCTGGTGAAACAATCTCAGGAACAATGTTGGAAAATTAAGAATGAGCAGGATTGATTTGTAGGGTTCTGAGTAAGCCAGTATGACTGGTAAAAGGGGGAAAAAAAAAGGGAACATGACTGGCATTAAAAGAGCAAACAAAAAAAGTTGACATCTCTTCCCCTCAGATTGGCAAAGAATTAAAACGTCAGCCAATGTGAGTGAACATGTTGCAGGGGGACCAGCACTCTGTTTGTAACATAACTTTTCAGAATGTTAAAAGTCTTAAAGTGGAAATGACTTGTGTTAGGCTCTCAGTTCCCAGAGAAATCATCAGAGCTGTGATCAAAGATTTATAATTTTTGTAAAAAATGTAAACCCTAAGTGTCTAGCAAAAGTAATAAGGAGGCAGTTACCTTTGTGTGATGGAATTCTATGCAGCAAGTATTGCAAAAGAATACCAAATGTGAGAAACTATGATATCATTGTAAGTGGAAAAAGCAGAGTCCAAATTGGCATGTGCATTTTGGCAGTCCTTTTATTAAAACAAAAATGCTATATATATATATATATATATACATACACTAATTTGGAACACAACAAAATTAACAATGGTTAAGATTATAGATATTTCACTTTCCTTGTGCTTTTCAGTTTTCTTTTTCTATGTTGACCCTATGTTACATTTAGAATAAGGTAAAGAAAATGTATTTTAAAAATCAAATCTATGTATCAATTGTTGTTTTGTTCATAGAATTATGGGAGTAGAACTTGTATTACACAGGGTTTGTATGAGAGGATAGTGAGGAATTAGATGCTTAGTGTATAAACCTAAAATGGGTCTTATGGAATTATAGAGTTTAAATGTATTTAATACAGTTCTATAACTGAGATGTACTGAAGACTTTCTGGGTTCACCAAACCACGGAATTTCCTCTTCCCAAACATTTTCAAATTTTTGGCATAGAATACAAGACATTGAGTCTGGTGGTATATCAAATAAACATCTTAGTATCTTGGATTATAAAATTCAGACACTCTATGACAGTAATTAAAGGAGGTATAATTAAGGGGATAGTAAATAGGAAACTCAATGAGGAGAAATTATTATTCCTGTTAATGTATGGTGTGAAAGAGCAATATGACAGACATGTTCTGTGGCTCAATGCCAGCACTTATTTGTGAAAGCAGATAGTCTATTTATTTTTCTCCACATCAATAGATATTAAAAATTCTCCATTTATTTTCAGGCTTGGAAGAAAGATACCTTTTTCTCATGAGAAAAATTATTATAAAGAATAGAAGAAAAAATATGGCTAGTGTTTGATTTCCTAGTTTCAGGTGTCAGATTAGATTCAAAGATCGGTATTTTATTGAAACTTTCTTTCAATCAGTAAAATTTCCATCCCTGGGGTTAATCAAGCCATTCTTAATATACTCGAAGACTTTCACATTAAATTTATAAAACTAATTTTTATTTGAGTTAACTGAAGCTTCATTTGAATGGTTCTGAGCCTTGTTTCCTATTTTTTGGGATAAGTTCCATAAGTCAGGGTTAGAGCTTTCTTATAATATCTCCAGTGCCAAAATCTGTAGTAAGTGTACAATGAATAGCTGGTAAATATTGGATGAAATAAATGGTTCTTGTGGTCAAGTGCATTTAACATATCTCTGCCAGTTCTCCTCCAGCATGAATTTATTAAATGTCCAGAAATTTCTGAGAGATTTTGATTTAAATAATTTTAGACCCTAGGAAACAAATCGAGATCGGTCTGTAAAATGGATGAGCTACAACTGTCTGCACAGCAAACTTTCCTAAATCAGGTGTTGCAAGCTTACTTGTGAAGTGGAGCTGTGGTCTATCCCTTAGCCTTGAGGTCATTTTAGTGACTGAGTTCAATGTCGACAATGAACTTCCTGAGGCCTTAACGGGTAGAACTTGAAGCCAAAGCTTTGAATGAAGTTGATTTAGGAAATTAATGTTTCCTCCAATTCCCCCTAAAGATTTTGTCAAACTGCCAAAGAGAAGAAAAGGAGAGAATGAGGATATCTGTGTTTGTGGACCCGGTTTAGAACTATGGGATCTCCTTTAAGGGGCTTATGAAGGGCAGTATGGGTGGAGGCTGGTGTGCAGGGATGTCATTAAACTGTGGCCAACTCTTTTAAAATTTGATGTTAGGGCTGGGCGCGGTGGCTCATGCCTGTAATCCCAGCACTTTGGGAGGCCGAGGTGGGCAGATCACGAGGTCAGGAGATCTAGACCATCCTGGCCAACATGGTGAAACCCCGTCTGTACTAAAATACAAAAAATTAGCTGGGCGTGGTGGCGCACACCTGTAGTCCCAGCTACTCAGGAGGCTGAGGCAGGGGAATTGCTTGAACCTGGGAGGCGGAGGTTGCAGTGAGTCAAGATTGCGCCACTGCACTCCAGCCTGGTGACAGAGCAAGACTTTATCTCAAAAAAAAAAAAAAAAAAAAAAAAGAACCATGTTAGATGGTTCTTTGCCTCCTAATTAGTATACTGTATTTACATTATGCTTTTCAGGAGCAAGTGGAGCAGCATGAATGGGCCTCTATTTACACCTGCTAAGCACCTGCCAGCCAACTGACCTTTATGTTTAGCTGTGTCTGATTTTCTTTCCTGTTACTATCAAGAGCATGTCTGTGGCATTACACATCAACACAGGGATTATGAAAACAATCAGGTACAGAACTATATTCCATAAGTAGATTTGCAAAATAAAGTATTTTATTCCTTTCTCATTACAATGGTAGAGACAGAAAATTTCATTAAAGCATCATAAACTTCATAGTACACACTTAAGTGTGCCAAAAAAGCAAACAAAACAAAGAATGTTAGGACTAGCAATAGCTTCATAGGGCAATTGGTGTCCAGCCCCTGCTTTTCAGATGAAAATGTAAGGTCACAGGTTAGCAGAATTGCTTAATAATACAAGTTAGGCAATATAGTATTTTACTCATAGTTAGTATATACAGTATTTATCATTATAACTGATATAATAGAAAAAAACCTTTCAGCTTTCTTGCAATTAAAAAGTGACAGGTGAGGTTGCAGTAAGCCTAGATAGCACCACTGCACTCCAGCCTGGGTAACAGAGCAAGACCCTGTCTCCAAAATAAATCAAAAGTCACAGACATTGAAATATTTATTAATCACATTGCTCACTGACCTACTCCATTCTGGAAAAAAAAAAGAACACAGGATTTTTTTTTCTTGTAATGGGAAATTTTAATTCTAAAAAGGCCAATTCCCAATCACTTAGTTTCTAGTCCTCCTTTAAAAATTACTTCTTCAAAATCCCAAGAAATAAAAGAGATTTGCTAAAGATTCAACTAAGCAAAAGTCCTATCAAGTATCTTTACATATACTCACCACCTATTTGCCCTTCTTTCTTGGTGACCTAGCTGTATGTCCTTTGCCCATTTTTGTTGGGTGGAGAGAAGTTTGGTCTTTAATTTTTAAGTACTCTCTAAATAATAAAGCAATTAGCTTTTGTGATGTAAGTTGCATTTTTTTCTTGCAGTTTATCAGTTGATTTTTCTTAAGCTGGTTTTTTTTCCCTCTCTTCCATGATTTTAAATTGAAATTCAGGTTCATGTCTATCTCACTCCTTATACTGCTGTCAAAGTAAATGTGGCAAAATTCACCTTTAAAGCAACTATTAAACAGAATTACATAGAAATGAGCATTAGTCATATATAAAGCTATTATTAAATATCCAGAAATATTCTGATGTTTTCTAGAGGTCATTAGCATGGCCCATAATATCATAACACATTTTTGTTCTCTAAAGATGTGGACTGGTTAAAGAACACAAGGTCACTTATTTTAAAAATATCAGAACACGTTTATTATTTTGATACATTTTTTAAAAGTTGTGTTTTAAAAAGTTAATTTAGTATATTCTGAATCCATACAAAAGTAAGCTAGTACTTTTATAATAACAATTATTCTTTCATTTCAATTTTTATTATGTTTTTTATATAGAACACAGCACAAAGTGCTTTTGAATTAAAGTTTAGAAAATATCGAAAGCGGCCAGGCGCGGTGGCTCATGCCTGTAATCGCAGCACTTTGGGAGGCCGAGGCAGGTGGATCACGAGGTCAGGAGATCCAGACCATCCTGGCTAACATGGTGAAACCCCGTCTCTACTAAAAATACAAAAAAATTAGCCGGGCGTGTTGGCAGGTGCCTGTAGTCCCATCTACTGGTAATCCCAACTACTCAGGAGGCTGAGGCAGGAAAATGGTGTCAACCCGGGAGGCGGAGCTTGCAGTGAGCCGAGATTACGCCACTGCACTCCAGCCTGGGAGACAGAGCCAGACTCCATCTCAAAAAAAAAGAAGATATCGAAATCTTATTTTCCAAATATTTCTCTTCAGTAGTCTTAACCACTCTTCCCATGATCATTTCATGCCTTTCTAGTAAATTAATTTTTCTCCCTAGAGAAAGTAAAAACTGATATAGCATATATTTCACTCTAAACTGTTTAAAAGACTAGGGTTCTGCTCTATAAAATAAAAGGAAACAAACTAAGGGGGAAAAGTACGTATGTAAAAAAACACATATGTGAAAGAAGATAGGCAGAAAATGAATCAAAATATTAGGAGTGGTTATCAGTAGGTAGCATAATTATAAGTGACTTATTTTTCATAACTTTCTGCATTTTCCAAGCTCTTCTTACTGAGCCCATTCCATATTACAAATATTTTAAAAAAGAACAGTGACCACCTTACAAACCAGAAATTCCAGGCAACACCTTATTCCTTTAAGTAATCCAAACTATTTTCTATCTCCTAAATGCAGTCTTTTCCCCTGACTAGATACTGTGTGCGTTTAGCACGAGGCAGAAGGGTGGGGGTTTCACAGTGACGCACACAAAGAGGCAGGAGCTTTGCTAGGTACCAGGGAAGGGGCAGCATCTTCAAGTGCACATGTCTGCGTCTCTGTGAAGTCACTTCAAAGACTTTATGAAGCTCAGATCTGATTCTGTTGAAATCAATTGGCTCCTTTCCCACCAAAATTGTATTCGAGATGTTCTTCAGCTGTATAGTACTTTGTCAAGGAAGGACCCTGAAATAACAGGATGTTTTCATTTAATTAACAGCATGGTAGACAACTGAACTACCCAGAATTTACAGGCTGATAAGCTTTGGATATTTTCTAAACTTTATTCCACAATAACAGGAGTTGCTTTAGGAGGACAAGTTAGAACATTTGGAGGGAAATGTTATAATTGTGATCAAATTGGTCATCTAAAAAAGAATTGCCCAGTCTCAAATAAAAAAGAGCCACCTGACTTATGTCCAAGATGTAAACAAGGAAAACACTGGGCTAGTCAATGTCATTCTAAATTTGATAGAAATGGGCAACCATTGTCGGGAAAATGAGCAAAGGGGCCAGCCTCAGGCCCCGCAACAAACTGGGGCATTCCCAATTCAGCCCTTTGTTCCTCAGGGTTTTCAGGGACAACAACCCCCACTGTCCCAAGTGCCTCAGGGAATGAGCCAGTTACCACAGTACAACAATTGTCCCCCGCCACAAGCGGCAGTGCAGCTGTGGATTTATGTACTATAAAGGCAGTCTCTCTGCTTCCAGGGGAGCCCCCACAAAAAATCTCCACAGGGGTATATGGCCCACTGCCTGAGGGGACTGTAGGACTAATCTTAGGTAGATCAAGTCTAAGTCTGAAGGGAGTTCAAATTCGTACTGATGTGGTTGATTCAGACTATAATGGCGAAATTCAATTGGTTATTAGCTCTTCAATTCCTTGGAGTGCCAGTCCAGGAGACAGGATTGCGCAATTATTACTCCTGCCTTATATTAAGGTTGGAAATAGTGAGATAAAAAGAACAGGAGGGTTTGGAAGCACTGATCCAACAGGAAAGGCTGCATATTGGGCAAGTCGGGTCTCAGAGAACAGACCTGCGTGTAAGGCCATTATTCAAGGAAAACAGTTTGAAGGGTTAGTAGACACTGGAGCAGATGTCTCTATCATTGCTTTAAATCAGTGGCCAAAAATTGGCCTAAACTAAAGGCTGTTACAGGGCTTGTCAGCGTAGGCACAGCCTCAGAAGTGTATCAAAGTACTGTGATTTTACATTGTTTAGGGCCAGATAATCGAGACAGTACTTCCCATGTTAAAAAACATTTATTATCTTGTTTTGCTGTAATGGGAGTTCCAGAAAAAGATCAAAACTGACAATGGACCAGGATACTGTAGTAAAGCTTTCCAAAAATTCTTACATCAGTGGAAAGTTTCACATACAACAGGAATTCCCTATAATTCCCACAGACAGGCCATAGTTGAAAGAACTAATAGAACACTCAAAACTCAGTTAAGCAAAAAGAAGGGGGAGACAGTAAGGAATGTACCACTCCTCAGATGCAACTTAATCTAGCACTCTATACTTTAAATTTTTTAAACATTTATAGAAATCAGACTACTACTTCTGCAGAACAACATTTTACTGGTAAAAAGAACAGCCCACATGAAGGAAAACTGATTTGGTGGAAAGATAATAAAAATAAGACATGGGAAATAGGGAAGGTGGTGACGTGGGGGAGAGGTTTTGCTTGTGTTTCACCAGGAGAAAATCAGCTTCCTGTTTGGATACCCACTAGACATTTGAAGATCTACGATGAACCCATCGGAGATGCAAAGAAAAGCGCCACCGCGGAGATGGAAACACCAGTCACATGGATGGATAATCCTATTGAAGTATATGTTAATGATAGTGTATGGGTACCTGGCCCCACAGATGATCATTGCCCTGCCAAACCTGAGGAAGAAGGGATGATGATAAATATTTCCATTGGGTATCATTATCCTCCTATCTGCCTAGGGAGAGCACCAGGATGTTTAATGCCTGCAGTCCAAAATTGGTTGGTAGAAGTACCTACTGTCAGTCCCATCAGTAGATTCACTTATCACATGGTAAGCGGGATGTCACTCAGGCCACGGGTAAATTATTTACAAGACTTTTCTTATCAAAGATCATTAAAATTTAGACCTAAAGGGAAACCTTGCCCCAAGGAAATTCCCAAAGGATCAAAAAATACAGAAGTTTTAGTTTGGGAAGAATGTGTGGCCAATAGTGCGGTGATATTACAAAACAGTGAATTCGGAACTATTATAGATTGGGCACCTCGAGGTCAATTCTACCACAATTGCACAGGACAAACTCAGTCGTGTCCCAGTGCACAAGTGAGTCTAGCTGTTGATAGCGACTTAACAGAAAGTTTAGACAAACATAAGCTAAAAAATTACAGTCTTTCTACCCTTGGGAATAGGGAGAAAAAGGAATCTCTACCCCAAGACCAAAAATAATAAGTCCTGTTTCTGGTCCTGAACATCCAGAATTATGGAGGCTTACTGTGGCCTCATACTGCATTAGAATTTGGTCTAGAAATCAAACTTTAGAAACGAGATCGTAAGCTATTTTATACTATCAACCTAAATTCCAGTCTAACAGTTCCTTTCCAAACCTGTGTAAAGCCCCCTTATATGCTAGTTGTAGGAAATATAGTTATTAAACCAGACTCTCAAACTATAAGCTGTGAAAATTGCAGATTGTTTACTTGCATTTATTCAACTTTTAATTGGCAACAGTGTATTCTGCTGGTGAGGGCAAGAGAAGCCGTGTGGATTTCTATGTCCATGGACCAACCGTGGGAGGCCTTGCCATCCGTCCATATTTTGACTGAAGTATTAAAAGCCATTTTAAATAGATCCAAAAGATTCATTTTTACTTTAATTACAGTGATTATGGGATTAATTGCAGTCACAGCTACGGCTGCTATGGCAGGAGTTGCATTGCACTCTTCTGTTCAGTCAGTAAACTTTGTTAATGATTGGCAAAAAAATTCTACAAGATTGTGGAATTCACAATCTGGTATTGATCAAAAATTGGCAAACCAAATTAATGATCTTAGACAAACTGTCATTTGGATGGGAGACAGGCTTATGAACTTAGACCATCGTTTCCAGTTACAGTGTGACTGGAATATCTCAGATTTTTGTATTACACCCCAAGTTTATAATGAGTCTGAGCATCACTGGGACATGGTCAGATGCCATCTACAGGGAACAGAAGATAATCTCACTTTAGACATTTCCAAATTAAAGGAACAAATTTTTGAAACATCAAAAGCCCATTTAAATTTGGTGCCAGGAACTGAGGCAATCGCAGGAGTTGCTGATGGCCTCGCAAATCTTAACCCTGTCACTTGGGTTAAGACCATCGGAAGTACTACGATTATAAATTTCATATTAATCCTTGTGTGCCTGTTTTGTCTGTTGTTAGTCTGCAGGTGTACCCAACAGCTCCAAAGAGACAGCAACCATCGAGAAACAGCCATGATGATGATGGCGGTTTTGTCGAAAAGGGGGAAATGTGGGGAAAAGAAAGATCAGATTGTTACTGTGTCTGTGTAGAAAGAAGTAGACATAGGAGACTCCATTTTGTTCTGTACTAAGAAAAATTCTTCTGCCTTGAGATGCTGTTGATCTGTAACCCTACCCCCAACCCTGTGCTTCCTGAAACATGTGCTGTGTCAACTCAGGGTTAAATGGATTAAGGGCTGTGCAGATGTGCTTTGTTAAACAAATGCTTGAAGGCAGCATGCTTGTTAAGAGTCATCACCACTCCCTAATCTCAAGTACCCAGGGACACAAAACACTGCAGAAGGCAGCAGGGACCTCTGTCTAGGAAATCCAGGTATTGTCCAAGGTTTTTCCCCATGTGATAGCCTGAGATATGGCCTCATGGGAAGGGAAAGACCTGACCTTCCCCCAGCCTGACACCCGTAAAGGGTCTGCGCTGAGGAAGATTAGTAAAAGAGGAAGGAACGCCTCGTTGCTGTTGAGACAAGAGGAAGGCATCTGTCTCCTGCTCATCCCTGGGCAATGGAATGTCTCGGTGTAAAACCCGATTGTATATTCCATCTACTGAGTTAGGGGAAAACCGCCTTAGGGCTGGAGGTGGGACATGCAGGCAGCAATACTGCTCTTTAAGGCATTGAGATATTTATGTGTATACATATCTAAAGCACAGCAGTTAATTCTTTACCTTGTTTATGATGCCGAGACCTTTGTTCACGTGTTTACCTGCTGAACTTCTCTCCACTATTATCCTATGACCCTGCCACATCCCCCTCTCCGAGAAACACCCATTAATGATCAATAAATACTAAGGGAACTCAGAGGCCGGTGGATCCTCCGTATGCTGAACACCGGTCCCCTGGGCCCCCTTTTTTCTTTCTCTATACTTTGTCTCTGTGTCTCTTTCTTTTCCAAGTCTCTAGTTCCACCTAATGAGAAACATCCACAGGTGTGGAGGGCCAACCCACCCCTTCAGCATTCCATATAAATTACACGGTCATTAGAAGTGTTTATTGCCCTCTGTGATGGCTGCTATGTAGGACATAGAAAGTATGGCGAAAATGGAGACATTAGTAGAAAACAGAGAGATTAATGATTAACTTGACCTTTTCCTTTTTTAATTTTGTCCAAAGAAAAAGTGTTCTCAGAGTTGAGCTACTAAACAGCCTCCTTCCATTCTAGAAAACGTACAGGTCACCCATAACAGAAAAAATGTTTTTTTGATTCTGTTGTTCTACACCATGGTGGTAGCAGGGGACAGAAATAGGAACTGGTCATCTTGGAGGGGTCAGCTTCAGAAAGCATGTCCTCCTCTTCTACTTACAGTTAAGAATGAGCTGCAGTAGTGGATTTAGTACAAGGTATCCACGTGCTTCCCCAGCCGTGCTGAAGCGTCTCCTTTTAAGGCCGGGAATGGTGTCCTTCCACCAAGGGACACCCCTCCTGATGAGGCCTCCAGCTCATCTGTTCCCCGGTTATTACTGCCACCAGATTCCTCATCTTCGTTCTCCTTCCATTTCACAGGACTTCCCAGCATCACCTGTTACCTGTATTCCTCCAAATACTCTCATGTCCAACACACAGCTATGTCTTTGGAGCCTGCCTCTTTACTCCGCCCCAGAACCTGGGTGCACAAGGTCTTAACGCTTGGCACAGATTCTAACTCACTTCTTGACTAGCATATTTTGCCACAGATGATTCACTTTGTTCCCATGGAACACTGTGGTCAAAATTCTAATCTTAAAAGGGAAAGTTGAAACAAAATTTTTAAGGACTTTATACCTACCGAAAAGTGATCAGTAGTCAGTGTACACAATTTGAGGTGTACTTTGATGTAAGAGTATTTCCAAAAAGTTGAGGATAAATGAAATTTTCATAAATTAATTTTGTCAGGCCTCTGAACCCAAGCCAAGCCATCGCATCCCCTGTGACTTGCACGTATACACCCAGATGGCCTGAAGTAACTGAAGAATCACAAAAGAAGTGAAAATGCCCTGCCCCGCCTTTACTGATGACATTCCACCACAAAAGAAATGTAAATGGCCGGTCCTTGCCTTAAGTGATGACATTACCTTGTGAAAGTCCTTTTCCTGGCTCATCCTGGCTCAAAAAGCTCCCCCACTGAGCACCTTGCGACCCCCACTTCTGCCCGCCAGAGAACAAAGCCCCGTTGACTGTAATTTTCCTTTACCTGCCCAAATCTTATAAAACGGCCCCACCCCTATCTCCCTTCGCTGACTCTTTTCAGACTCAGCCCGCCTGCACCCAGGTGAAATAAACAGCCATGTTGCTCACACAAAGCCTGTTTGGTGATCTCTTCACAGGGACGTGCATGAAAAATTTCTCAATTGATTAACGTGCTCAGTTGATTACTGAACATTTCTCATTTGATTATACTCAGAGATTGGGGAGATCTTTAAAAAATTGTCTCTATTCATCAGAAGTTAATTTAGCATGGAAAAGAAAACACACATAAGCACAATGTATGGCACATTGTAAGTGGCTAAGAATGTTTGAAGAATAAATAAGCAACTACATGAATGCAATAGAGTTAACAGGCAAAAAACAACACAGGAAATGTCAATTACTATAGGTTATGTACTGTTATAATGATGGGAGAAATGTTTGTCATTTGGTAAAAAAAGCAGGATTCAATATTGTGCAATCAATATAATCTCAAGGTGTATATGCAAATGTCTAACAATATGCAAAGAAGCTTAAGAATACTACTAGATAGAGATTATTGCAGGTAATTTTTATATTTTTTATATTTTCCCCTATTTCTTGTTTTTAACAATGATGAGATATTACTGTTAAAATAAATTAGTTTATTTTTTAAATGGTGTAGTCAGGAAATGTGAGTTTCAAAGAGAGATATCATTTTGGACTAGAGTTGTTTGGGAGAGCATCTTGGTTGATTGAATTCAGAGCTGGAGCTGGGTTCAGGGAATTTAGATAGAAAGAAAGGCGGAAAAGTGTTTTAGGCAGGTAATCTGACAGGAATGAGGCTAAATCAAATAATTTATCATTGTGGAATATTTTTAAAATGAACTCTTGTAAAAATGGTTGTTGTTCTTCCAGTCTGCTGTTATTTCGTCTGTTTGTAAATGAGTGGCCACACAGCTGGCCCTGAATCAGTTCTGCCTGACTTTTCCCCCATAGCACTCTGATAGTAAAGGAAAATGAATGCCTCACGCAAGAACTTTGGAGACATAGTCTAAAGCATCCCTGAAAGCACAATATTTTCTGTCTTATTTTATCTTTTTTTTTTTTTTTTTTTTTTTTTTTTGAGACGGAGTCTTGCTCTGTCACCCAGGCTGGAGTACAGTGGCGCGATCTCGGCTCACTGCAAGCTCCGCCTCCCGGGCTCACGCCATTCTCCTGCCTCAGCCTCCCGAGTAGCTGGGACTACAGGCGCCCACCACCACGCCTGGCTAAATTTTGTGTGTGTGTGTGTGTATTTAGTAGAGAAGGGGTTTCACCGTGTTAGCCAGAATGGCCTCGATCTCCTGACTCATGATCCACTCGCCTCGGCCGCCCAAAGTGCTGGGATTACAGGCGTGAGCCACAGCGCCCAGCCGTCTTATTTTATCTTAAACTTCCTGCATTATTTATTTGTCTTTTCCTCCCTTATAAATGTGTTTGTGTTCATGTTGAAATAATACAATTTTTATTTGAACTATTGGAGTAATATTAGAAAAATATATTCTCTAGGAAACCATGCCATTTTCATCTTATGATTTTTATATCCCCTTGGTATATTAGCATTAGCCATGTATCCCCCAGTGTATACATATGCCCATTTGAGAAGGATCAGGCCAGATAAACATTAAAGCTTCAAAAAGTAAAATATCAATTCTGAATTTTAAAAAAGCAATGCATATTTCATTTGTTTTCATAAACAGTAATGACAAATAAGCTAGAAGCAAAGCAACTAGGAAGACAGATAATAAACAGGGCATTGCAAATTCATTTCTATTATAGGAGAAAATAGGACATAATCTGTAATTTTTTGTTTAGAAAAGTTTGAATTGCTTCTACTTATGTTTTGGTTAACTATAAAATACCTTTTCCACTTCCTTTACTTTTCCTGGGGCCCCTTCCACTGTCCTCTGTTGAATTTAGGATTTCTGATGTATGTAGGTGTAACATGCCAAATTTAGATTAATGCACAGGTATATGAGAAAGAGGTAGGACATAAAGAAAGGAAATTCAGTAATGATTGTGGTGCTTTTGCTTCTGCTTTCTACAGGACTGGCCTAATTCTGTTCTAGGGCATATGGTGATCTTATTCCTGAAAATGTTCCAAACACCTATGGGTAGGACATTTTAGGATTCTTGGGCATAGCCAAAGTAAGCCAGAGCCAAATAAATTGCTCTGAATTTTAAAGAAAAATGGAGTTTTGAATTTGCAAGAAGCCCGAGAGTCTGAATGCCTGTATTTACTGCATACCCTGAGAATGCAGTAAAGATTTGAACAAAAGAGAGGAGTATCCAATGAGAGAGAGAGGCCTGGGAAGAGGATGGAAAGCCCAGGTTAAAAGGGGAACTAGCCAGTGAGAAATTTCTCATAGTATGATATAGTTCAGGGGTTAGCAAAGTCTTCCACTAAAGGGCCAGATAGTAAATACTTTTGGCTTTTGGGGTCTCTGTTGCAACTACTCAGCTCTGCTGTTGTAGTATAAAAGGGAGCCAGAGACAGTAGACAAACGATTGGGTGTGGCTGTGCCCCAGTAAAACTTTATTCACAAAAACAAGTGGCCAGCTGGATTTGGCTCACAGGTGGTAGTTTTCAGGTCCCTGGTGTACTAGTTACTTTTCAGTTCAGTGATTTCTAATATTGATACATACCACTTTTGATAATGGTATAATTTCCCTTTTCACCCCAAATCTTTAGCAATGTGTACTGCACAACAGCTTGCAGTAAGCCTGCTTTGAATAGGTAGAATGAAAGGTTAGGTATTTAATAAGCCCAAGGGAATGAGGACCAAAAGAAGGAGCAGTCAAAGAGGCCAAATGAAGTAGAGAATTCAGTGGAAGTCAGAAATCAAGGGGGTTGGTGGCTGGGGAGGTAAAGTGAAAGTCTCTAGAGGACATTAAAGTGACTCTGTGCATTTAAGGGAAGCTGGAAGACTTGGAGGTACAAGCAGGCAGCAAATTCTTGGGTTCCACAAGAAAAAAGCATACTACTTCTCAAAGTTTCATAGCATAAATACAGGAAATTATAGGAATGCTTTGAAAAAGTAGTGACTGTGACTGTACTAACTTATAGAGTCATCACCCCAAAACATTGGAAATGACAATAATAATCCAATAAAAAAAAAAGAAGTTTCCAACTCCTGAAGTACTTTCTAAATTCTTTGGTATCAATGACCTACCTAGTGCAATATCATATTCAAGTCCTGTTTCCATTTTTGATATTTGAGTTGTTGAAAACATTTTGAATTCAGTATGTATATAGGTACCTGCTATTTTCTTCATTTGTTTGCAGAGTTCGGGGATGAACGCTGCTGCCTCCTTGAGAATGTAAATGGATAGCCACTTCTTTAGGGTTTTCATGTGCATTATTGCTAATTGGCAGAGAAAAAAATAGAAAAACTGTCTTAATCATTTAAGTATCTGTTTTGAAAGAAATTAGTAATTTGCATTTTGAAATTTAAGGTATTATTTGCCTTAAGTTCCTGATATCTTTGCAAGACGTCTGAAAGGAAAATCATAACCAAATCTCATCTTTTAATACTAAGCAAAAACTTAGATTAGAAAATAATACTAAAATCATCCTATATTTTCTGTCAGAGTACTCTAAATTGTTTATAGGCAGATGTCCATGCCTTAACACATTTCACTATTTCTGACATAATTTTGATTAGTAAATAGGATTTACATCGAGATTTTGACACTTAAGCTGCACAACATGAATGACTTTGCACTGCAGTGTTACACGAGGCTTCCTTTTTCTCCTATAGTGAAGATATGTGTTCTGTTTTCTGTACAAGCAATATCCACGGTTAGGGGAGCAGCAGTAGCTGTCATGAAGGTATTTAAGAACTAACAGTAAAAAGAAATATTTACTCACTTTTTAATATCAGTAATAACAATCATGTGTAAATAATAGCTAACATTTTCTGACATGCATCATAAATGAGGCACTATGTTAAGTAAGGTAGGAACTATTATTATCTCCATTTCACAGGCAAGGAAAATGAAATTTACTGAGGATAAGTATCTTGCTCAGGGTCTCATAGAGAGTGAGTGACTGTGAACACAGGCCTTAGCGGTTGCAAAGCCCTCACCCTCACTTGGTATGGTACACTGCCTCTTTGGGGGTTAATAAACACTTCATCTTTTATCAATGAAATGATAAAACAGTACCAGTACCTGGAGATTTTATGTATGAGTTGGTATTAGGGATTTTAGAATGGAAGCTTGAAGAGTTAACTCACTTCAACATGTACCACTGTTTCCTCATCACTCAGTTATTCTTTACCATCTTATGGAAATTAGAATGACAGCATCATTTGAGAAAAAGAGGCAGACTGCTTCAGGGGGCAGAGTTTTCACAGGACAGGGAAGGCACACTTGAGATCCATGGATGAGGAAGAGTGGAGTGGTATATAGCCAGGTGGTATGACCTTCCAAGGAGTGGTGGTTAAGTGGTAAGATGAGTAGTGTTCTGAAGGTGGTCTTGGGTGATGAGTGGTACATGGGGTTTTGGAGAATATGATCTCGGTGAGTATATGTTGAATGAAGAGCTATTTGGTTAGTTACTGGTGGTTAATGTGAACATAGGAAAATTCAGGGAGACTTCACAGAGGATGGCCTTAAGTATTTTATCATTCTAAACATCACAACAATGGAAACTTTGAAATTTTGACTGTGTACAAGGCTGTTTTGTGTAGAAATGGGAGTGGGTACGAGGCAGTAACAAGAGGCAATAATGGGCTCTGAATGAAGAAGTCTAACCAGTATTATTCCTCACTGATGAGTGCATGACCTATCTTATGACCTATCTTATTTAACATTATCACAAATTATTGTTGTAAATACACAGTGAAATATCAAAACGTGCAGGCGCATATTTTTAACTAGTGAAATAACAAGGCAGTGAGATTAAATCACAGGAAGAACTTGCCAAGTCTGTGTGAAACGCCAGGAAATCTCAATATGGAAAGATGCCCTTAAAGAAATACCTTAATTTTTTATAGCCTAATGACTCAGAATAAAGAGTAAAAAAAGTAGAGATTGCATACGGTTCTCTAGAAAGATACTGGTTCAATATACCAAAGTAGCTAAAACAAACTCAGTAAAATATAGGGAGAAAAAGAATATTGAAAGAAAAAAGGAAAATACTTTAGGTTTGTACTATGTACAGTTCTGGATACTGAATTTCAGTAATATAGAGTCAGATTCAGAAATGGCAACTAACATTGTCAAAATACTAGCACAAAGAGTTCAAGATTTCCAGTTAAATAATCTGGACTAAAGGCCTAATTCCTAACAACTTCCTACTGGCTTTAAACAAGCCACTGAATTTCTTTGAACCTAGAGTGTTTTATGCTTTGGGATAACAATATGATTGGGCCTACCTACCTCACAGAGTTGCTTTGAGGACCAAAGAAGATAATAAATGGTAAATAAACCTATAAATAAACATGTTAACTCTTTTTGTAGATACATTAACCATTTCTACTCTTATTATTAATTTTGACTGCTGTACAAGTAGAGATTAAAAAATCATTAAATAAAAATTGCTTTGGGTGGATATAGGTGGTCCCTGCTCACAGGGGATCATAGTCCAGGGAGCAGGGATGGTGAGGAGAATAGTAGAGACCAAGAAGGCAGGAGATAGTAGTAATAGTGAGTGGAAAGGCCAAGGTGGAGGGTGCAGAGGAAATGGGCAGAGTAATTAGGTATTCTTAATCAGGGAAAGCTGAGGATTGAGAAGGCACATGAAATCAAGTGTGATATCGTTTAAGCATATGTGCTTACCAAATGCAGTGTTGGTACAATGGACTGAATGTTTGTATCTTTCCAAATTTATATGTTGAAAATTTATAGGATCTAATTACTATAGGATCTCAAAGGTGAGACCTTTGAGAAGTAATTAGATCATGAGAGCAGAGCCCTTGTGAATGGGACTAGTGCCCTTAGAAAAGAGACCAGGAGAGCTCCTTTACTCCTTTTCTCTGATTTGAGAACACGGAGAAAAGATTGAAGTCTATTAACTAGAAAGCGATCCCCACCAGACACTGAATTTGCAGTTGCCTTGACCTTGGACTCTCTACCCACTAGAACTATGAGAAAAAAATGCTTGGTTTTTAGAAATGACATAATGTTTTTTAGGGACATGGTCTTACCATATTGCCCAGGCTGGCCTTAAACTCATTGGCTCAAGCAGTACTCCTGCCTCAGCCTCCCAGATAGCTGGGACTATAGGCAGGTACCACTGCACCCAGCTTAAATGCTTATTGAATCCACCCAGTCTATGGAGTTTCTGTTATAACTGCCCAAGTATATATACCAACAGACTGAGACAGTTGGTATATTAGAACAAGGAGCAGCCTTGAAACCTGGAGTAAGTTTAGGACAAGTTAAAGACGCACTGTTCAACTTGGTAGAGAATTACGGCAGAAATTTCCCCTTGTGGTAACACTGTTAGTGGTGTGTAGCTCACTCATTCATTTGATAAATATTTATTGAGACTCTCTTTGTCCCAGGGACAGTTTAGATTTGTTGTGTATCCATTGGTGAAGATAGGACAAAAATCCCCGACTTCATGGAGGGAGAGAGAGAATAAACATGGAATGTAATTATTTAATTAATTATAATAAAAGAGAATAAGGCTATGAAAAAAATAAAGCAGGATAAGAGAGACTAGGAATGTGGGGGTGGGGTCATGTCATCTTTACTAGGATAGTTAAAGTAGACCTCCTTGAGGAGCATTTTAAAGAAGGTGAGATCATTTCTGTGTGTGTATTCCTTCTATTTCTCTATCACTTTAGTTTCTTTTCTTGTTTTATTTTATTTAATTTATTTATTTATGTTTTTCAGATGGAGTTTTGCCTTTGTTGCCCAGGCTGGAGTGCAGTGGCACAATCTCAACTCACTGCAACCTCCACCTCCTGGGTTCAAGCAATTCTCCTGCCTCAGCCTCCTGAGTAGCTGGGACTACAGGCATGTGCCACTACACCAGGCTAATTTTTGTATTTTTAGTAGAGACAGGGTTTTGCCATCTTGGCCAGGCTGATCTCCAACTCCTGACCTCAGGTGACCCACCCGCCTCAGCCTCCCAAAGTGCAGGGATTACAGGCCTGAGCCATCGCACCCAGCCTCATTTTAGTTTCTTAGTAAGTCTTCAGACTGCTTATGCAGCTTCTGAATTGTCTCCAGTGTTTGAGGTAGAAGTCAGCCTGCACCTCTCTAGGCCTGGTGTGACTGTGGCTCTCCCATAGAGCAGGCCATCTTGTTCTACACTATTCTATATCTGTCAGTCTTTTTTAGCTCCAGGATAAATGGCTCTTCTGACTTGGTGACCACTACGATACTCTCCACTCATATTCTGTGTTTCCCACATGGCTTCCTTCTTCTTTGCCATGAGGCCCTTTATGCCCTTGTCTTTCTGTGAGGAAAGCTTGAGCTCCAGATAAGGAATAATCAGCCCTCCTCACATAGCCACAATGACTTAGCTTATTGGCCACACCCACTCAAGGAGGTATGACTGCATGATTAATCAGCCCAACTCCTTCCGAAAGAAGGGACCTCTGCCTTCTGATTATTTAAGTTTATTACTTCTTTTTCCCAGTTTTAGCTATGTGTTATTTCTAACATGAAAATCAGTGGTGTTTTGTTAGATAAATGCACTCACTATGCTGAAACCACCTTTGCAAAGATTCTGAGAGTGAAAGAAATCTAACATGGCTGACTTCATCTTGCTTCTAGCCTCACAGGTGGGCCGGCTTTGCTCATTCCTGGGTGTAGGCCAAGCTAACCATGAAAGGAATTTAGTTTATAATGTAACTTTGGAGCAAGGATAATAACAGTCTCTTCCTAAAACTAGCTCTCTCCTTGCTCAGGACCTGAAACCTAATGAAAGGCCAAGAGATTAGGATTAGGAGAGGGACCTGAACTCTGCTAAAATATAGGCATAGGTTTTATAATCCATTACTGCTCAGAGATTTGTGACTTCCCTAATTGCTCCTATAGATAACATCACTATGTAGAATATAAGATTGGTCTTCTGAGATGTTTTTCAGGTTTTTGCATTTGGCAACTGACTGACTCTACCTGGACTTGTGACTCATGACTCAACTGGTCCTGTGGCCCCCAACCAGAGGTGGACACAGCACATGAGGAACATTTCCCACACCCCCATCCCCAACCAATCAGTAGTACCCATTCCCTAGCTCCCTTCCTACCAAATGATCTATAAAAACCCTAGCCCCTGTGTTCTTGGGGAGACTGAGTTGAGTGATAACTCCAGTTCTTCCACGTGACTGGCCTTGTATTAATTCATCTCTTTCTTTACTGCAATATGCCATTATCTCAGGGAACTGGTTTTGTCTGTATGACAGGCAGGAAGAACACATCAGGCAGTTACAATCCCAAGAAGTGAAACAGGTCAAAAGTAAAAGTTTAGAAAATGTTTAAAAACTTTCCTGGATTACACATATAGAATAGGTTTTAGTGTGGGTTACATAGATGTTTGGGAGGTTTACATCCCTGACCTTTAAGTCTAACGAGGATCATGATCTTTCTTTCTGCCACATTTCTGGTAGCCACTGGTCAGAGAGAGAATGGTTGTGCCATGGACATTACACTTTAAAGAATATGAAAAAAATAGGAGGCAGGTTTTACGAGATGGAAAACATGAAGAAATGGTATATGGTCTCAGGTTGCTTAGACTTTACAAGACAATCATTTCCAAAGAAATAATTTTATGAAATGGTTATTGAGTCATGTTTATGCCTGAAGGTGATTAATATGAGGAAATGATCTTAAATTATGTAGGTGAAACAAATCAATAGTTAGGCTTGGGAGTGTGACCCTCTAGTTGATTAACAAGGAATGGACCATAAGTAATGAAGAATGACATAGTTAGAAGGGTGGAGATAATCAAATATCTTCAAGATATTAAAGTATCTTGAATACTTCCAAGAAGAAGGGATAATCATTTCCCCTGTGTGGTTTTAACTAGAGACTGATATAGATACAGAAAATTAGAAGCCCCAACTCCTTTAATTCAGACGTAGTAGTAATTTTTTAAAAAATTAACTCACTAATTATATGGTACTTAATGAGAAACTTTAAGAGGAAAAATGTATTGACACAAGTACTTTGTTAAGGTAAAGTGCCCAGCTACTTACCTTTTCTTTTTGTAATGGAAAAGAGCAAAGAATATATGTCAAGCCGTAAAATATAGAGAACATTAGTTAGGAAGGATGGATATTTAAATTTAAATATCTACCAATTCAGTATTTTTCCATGAAATTGAGTTCCTGTCTAGGTTCTTTACAGCAAGATCTACTATGACAAACTACTTTTTAAAAAGTATATTGGCATCTTTGTGAAATATCAAAACTTCAGTTTCTGTAAAGCTTGTTGTAGGAAACTGTACTTGTTTAGAATATTTGCTATAGAAAACCGTTCACTTAAAAGTTACAAATTCAGTTTTTCTATGGGTATAGAACTTGCTCATCAACCATATAACATTGATATTATTGATTCTGGCCTCATTGAGGTTGTTATAATTCAATCAACCAGTACAAAAGCTGTGTAGGTTCTCTTCCCTGTCAAAGACGTTTCTTTATTCAGATCTTAGTCTTTGCAAGTTTTTTTTCTTTCAAATTTAAAAAATTAATGATGGCTGGGCCCAGTGGCTCACACCTGTAATCCCAGCACTTTGGGAGGCTGAGGCGGGTGGATCACTTGAGGTCAGGAATTCAAGACCAGCCTGGCCAAGATGGCAAAACCCTTTCTGTACTAAAAATACAAAAAATAGCCTGGTGTAGTGGCGTATGGCTGTAGTCCCAGCTACTCAGGAGGCTGAGGCATGAGAATCGCTTGAATCTGGGAGGCAGAGGTTGCAGTGAGCCAAGATCGTGCCACTGCACTCCAGCCTGGGTGACAGAGCAAGACTCGGTCTTAAAAAAAAAAAAAAAAAAAAAAAAAAAAAAAAGTTAATGGTGTTTACAAAATATTTGTTTATATATTAAAATACCCAATGGAAAGTTTCAATTCTTCCCCACTGGCAGCCTATGTGTGCCATATGATATGTGTGCCATAAGTGACCCAATCTAACTTCTAGTGCTATGATAGGATCTGGGCTTAGAGGTCAGTGTCTGCAATGTCTTAGCAAAACTAGGATATCAAACAGCCTCATGAACAACTATTTAAAAACCCCTTCTGCCTACTTTCTCTTTCTGTAAAACTCAATTCCTTCTTAAAATGCTGTGTGTGTGTGTGTGTGTGTGTGTGTGTGTGTGTGTGTGTGTGTGTGTGTTTTGAGATGTAGTCTCACTCTGTCACCCAGGCTGGTGTGCAATGGCACAGTCTTGGCTCACTACAACCTCTGCCTCCTGGGTTCAAGCAATTCTCATGCTTCAACCTCCCGAGTAGCTGGTATTACAGTTGTGTGTCCCACCTCGCCCAGCTAATTTTGTGTATGTTTAGTAGAGACAGGGTTTTACCATGTTGCCCAAGTTGGTCTCGAACCCCTGGCCTCTAGTGATCTGCCCACCTTGGCCTCCCAAAGTGCTGAAATTACAGGCATGAGTCACCATACCTGGCCAAATGGTCTTTTTTTTTGTTATTATTATTATTTTTTAATTGTTCTTAGTATCCTATATACTTCCTTTAGTGTGAATACCTCTTTGTCTATACTGTGTGTCAAGGACTTTCTTTATAAGAATTACCACATCTGTTTATGTAGCAATGGGTTTGTTTGTCTTTTACTTTCTTTTGACTTCCAAGAGGGGGTAAGTACAGTTTACATTTCTTGGGATAATATGGCTATACTTACCCTTTTCTGTGCTTTAGAATTATCCAAGAGAGGAAAATGATGAGTAAAATAAAGAAGATCGTACCAGATAAAGTGCCTAGGCAGTAAAACAAGGTAATTAAATGCATGGAAAATATAACTTACAGGTTTTAAATTCTATCTTAGTATCCAGTCCCACTACAGATTGCCAATGCTTTTTTTTTTTTAAAGATGTAACTATACATTCTGCTTTACTCTGGGTTTCTATAGCATTAGTCTCACTCCCACAGGGTTATTAAAGTTAAGGTGTGAGCTGAGCCGTTTTGTAACGTTTAGTCCAATGTCAGCTTTTCCAAAAGTAAGTGAGAACCGTGATGGGGCAGCTGGCCACCAGCTCTCCATGGCCCTGCCCATGTCTCTTGCCTAAGACTTAACACACAGGCATTTCATTGTGAAAATACTGGAATTCTCTCTCTTGTTGAATTACATATTTAGGTCATTTTGTCCATTTATTGATTGTTAAAGTGCACAGTCTCCACAGATAAGTAGACCCAGGCTACCCCATTCTGTGGTCTTGGACAAGTTACGTTAACTCTCTGTGTCTCAGTGTCCAGATGCGTAAAAAGGGATGTAAGAGTAATATGCCACAGTATTCCCTTGGAAGCAAACTTTATTACAAAACTATTCTTATTTAGGCAAATCACAGATATGGGCTCAGAAGACTGGTCTTATGGCTTTCTATTTGTGCAAATGAGCAGGATCACCATCTGGAAGCATACTCCAGGTTACAACTGAAAGAAGAAGTTGCATTCTCCCACCACATTCAAATAAAGAATTTTTGACACTGATGAATGATTATTCATTTGTAATGGTTCAAAGATAGTAAAGAGCCTTTGATGAAGGTTATTTAGTATGCATATGACGATGCCAGTTTCACCATATTGTGGCCTAACTTATCATTATTTTCTTTCTAGTTGAACTTACAACTGAAGATATTTTGATCTCTTTACACCTCAAGACATTTTGATCTCTCTTTTTACATTTCATTCATTATAGGTAGGTACTTACTGTTATAGATGCCAGAATTCCTCAGCAAAACTTTCATAAAACTTACCAACTATGAGAGCATCATGTGTACCTAAAAGGAAGACAAAAGTCACAAAACATCACTCTGGCATGCAACATGATTGAACAGGACCTCTCAGCCAGTGACAAGTCATCCTGATTTTTCTTCAGGACTCAGTCTAATATTTTTTCTAATGCAAAAAGCCATTGGTTTCATTCACATACTCTCATTTTACCTTCTGCACTCAGAGAAGACTTTTAAAAATTATTATTAATACAATTACAGAAGAAAATTTATAATACAGAACTAAAGAAAAAAGTCACCCCAATCCTCATACCCAAAAAATGTTTTGATACATTCTGTTCTGGTACATTTCCTTATATGTGTGTTTTCACATAATTATATACTAGAAATATAAGTTACAACAAAGGCAAACTAACATAATCTAGTAGATGCATCATAGTGTATTCAATGACTTCTATTGTGCATTTAGCTTGTTTCTAGGTTTCTGTCTCATGAAACCCTTAATAAAATGCATAGAATATTTTAATATTTTACATTATTTCCTTAGATTAAATTTCTAGGAGGGCTAACTGGCAGGAATAGTTGTATTATTTTCCACATACATTTCATAATTGTTTTTCATAAGAGTTTTTGCAAATTTACAATAGTACCTTCAACACACAACAATATCAGTTTCATCACATCCTTGCTTTGTATTGGGTGTTCACCTAACAACCTTTTTATTGTTAATTTAATGGACAATTTTTAAAAAATGTTTTGCTCTTGTCACCGAGACCAGAGTGCAATGGAGCGATCTCGGCTCACTGTAACCTCCACCTCCCGTGTTCAAGCGACTCTCCTGCCTCAGCCTCCTGAGTAGCTGGGATTACAGGCATCTGCCACCACGACCAGCTAATTTTTTTATTTTTTAGTACAGATGGGGTTTCACCATGTTGGCCAGGCTGGTCTTAAACTCCTGACCTCAGGTGATCCATCCGCCTCGGCCTCCCAAAGTGCTGGGATTACAGGCATGAGCCACCATACCTGGCCCCTTTATTTTATTAATATCAATTTTGTTCCACTTATTTGTATGTCTCTTCTTATCCTGGTGCAAAGTGACTTTTGTATTATTGCTTTATATTTTGTTCTAATATTTGATACGGTTGGTTCTCCAATGACCTGAATTTTCTGTCAGTCCCAGCCAGATCTTCAGAATACTCTAAAAGCATTTAGTAAGTTATCCAGTGAGATTTTTGCCAAAAAAGCAAATATAATTTGATATTAAGGGAGTGTCAAGCTGATAATTTAGAAATATTATCTGCGAGTCATATTAGCATATTTACAGGATTAATTGTAAAACTGGATCTTGAACAATCTTGGTGTAGAACCATGTATTAGAAGAGTCATAAGAGATGGGGAGAAGGGAAAGTGTAGCACTAACTTGGATTAAGAAAGGCTGTTCATTATTAACTTTGCTCATCTGCTCCATGATGTGGGTAGTTTTCTATCTTACAGTACCTTCCAGTTGCCAGCAGAGGGCTACTCTTCTACAGAGCTCAATGATACGTAATTTCTAAATCTGCTCTATCCAGCTGTGCTAGCTTAAAATCCTGTCCCCTCCAGTAGTGAGGGAGACAGGCCGGCTGCTCTCTGCAGCTTGGAAGGTGCTCCCTAACTCATGCTGAAAACATTTCTTGTAAGGCTCGTAGGCTGTAAATAAATCATTACTGTGTGGCTCATGCAACCACAAAGTGATATAGACAAAAAAGGTGCAGAGCTGCAGTGAGAAGTATGAGAAGAGGAAGTCTGGCCTTACTCTCACTATGGGAGTTTTGGAATAGGTGGATGCTCATATTGTACTCTATAGCTCATAGCATATGCCATAAACATCACACTACACTTGATGCCAATATGGATGAATGAATGAGCAATAACCATGACCGGGAAGATCCCACATTCCTTGCACTTGCACTTACGAGAGGTACATTTGGCCAGAGGAGGGTCCCATCTGTCATCCGCCTGGCACTGGCTCCAGGGACTGCCTTCCAGAGTATACCCATCTTCACACTTCAAAGTCACATAATCTCCATAGTGATATACTTTTTTCATTTCTAACTCCTTCGAGATTCCATTCATAAACAGTGGGAAGCTACAATTTACTTCTGAAATTAGACAAATCAGAAAGAAATTGATATTTTATTGTTGATTGTCCGTTTTAACTGCGAGAATAGGAGAAAATAGCCAAAACCTATTTTGCCCTTGGCTAAGAGGAAGCATGTTTTTAAACATGTTACTAATCTTCCTCCTCCAAAAACCTTATGATTTAACATTTCCTGACTCCCATTTCTTAATGTAAAGTAATAGAATATGGAATGTACTGTGCATTCACTGTTGATTAACAGCTCTGCAACTGGAAAGCTGTGGAAAGATTAGGAATTAGGCTAACGGTGATCTAGCCCTGGAGCCACTGGGGTCACGCTGTGAGGGAACAGGAGTACCATGTTAATTCTGTCTGGCTTCACAACAAATACTGGCACTCTGCTCTTTATTAAATGCATAATTCTGGCCAATTTCTGCACATAGAACAAAGAAGTTAGTAAATCATGATTGTGAATTTAAAATTTATCTTTCTTTCTTTTTCTTTTTCTTTTTTTTTTTTTTTTTTGAGTCTCACTGTGTCACCCAGGCAGGAGTGCAGTGGCGCGATCTGGGCTCACAGCAACCTCTACCTCCTGGGTTCAAGCAATTCTCCTGCTTCAGCCTCCCGGGTAGGTGGGACGACAGGCATGTACCACCATGCCTGATTAATTTTTGTATTTTTGGTAGAGACGGGGTTTCACCATGTTGGCCAGGCTGGTCTCGAACTCCTGACCTGAGGTGATCTGCCCACCTTGGCCTCCCAAAGTGCTGGGATTACAGGCCTGAGCCACCGTGCCCAGCCTGAATTTAATACATCTTTCTAATTAATTTACTTTCTTTTCTTTTCTTTTTTTTTTTTTTTTTTTGAGACGGAGTCTTGCTCTGTTGCCAGGCTGGAGTGCAGTGGCGTGATCTCAGCTCACTGCAACCTCTGCCTCTGGGTTCAAGTGATTCTCATGCCTCAGCCTCACGAGTAGCTGGGACTATAGGCGCGCACCACCACCCAGCTAATTTTTGTATTTTTAGTAGAAACGGGGTTTCACCATGTTGGCCAGGATGGTCTCGATCTCTTGACATGATCTTCCCGCCTCAGCCTCCCAAAGTGCTGGGATTACAGGTGTGAGCCACCGCACCCAGACTACTTTATTTTGTTTAACTTATCCTTTGTTTTACTTTCTTTTTCTGCCCAGCCATCAGTACATCCTTCATCTTCAAGCACAGACTTCTTTTCAGTTGTAATAGTCTCAAAATTAAGCCTACAATATTTTTTTCCTAGATACAAACCAAGAAGGCAAAGTGGTATTTCTTGAAGTGTGGTCTGTGGTCTTCCTGCATCAGAGCATTCTGATGAGTTTGTTAAAAATAGACTTTTGACCCCACTTTAAAACAGAATCAGAGGCCATGGAATGGAGTTTGAGAATCTTTTTAACAAGGTGATTTTGTTAATGCTCTGGATGGAGAAGCACTGCTATCGACCATGCAAAGAGGACAGTTAATAAGATGAAATAATTTTATGTAAATGAAAAGAAAGCAGTTGCCGAGAAGAAAAAAATATTATCCCTTTCATTAAGCTCATTTCAATGTCTCTCAGCCTTACAAGCCTCATGCATTCCATACAACCCAGCAAGAATAAGGAATACCAAGAAATAAGTCACCTTTGCAATAATGATCCAATTGGCTCCAGATTCCCTGGTCTGTACAGAAAATGAAGCCCTTTCCCACTAACAGGTAGCCGGGGTCACAAATGTAGCTGATTGTCATCCCAGGAAGATATAGAGATACGTGTCCTCCAATGTAATGCCCGTTTTGGATCTTGGGTGGATGTGGGCAGGCTAAGAACAAGTTCCCACACAAACACAAGAAAAGACACTCAGTTAAACATAGACATATGAATACATGAACACATCCAATATCTCTGGCTATTAGAGGTACATGAAGACCTCAACCAGCCAGGTCATAAGCCACTCCCTCCTATTTGATCAGTGAAAGACGGGTTCTCTAAACCTAGACCTCTTGACATTTAAACACTATCCTCTACAGTCTCTAACTTCAAACTAGATCAGATGGGGGAGTACCACAGGGATCGACAAGCTACCGATTCAGTGCTGTTCTGTCCTTACTGGAAGATGGAACTGGTGTGGGCAGTCACAGCCACACATGTGCCTACAGTTGTCAGGTACTGTCGTTTAAAGCCAGACTAATATATCAAAGGAATGAGCTATGGAGGCTAAGAGTACAATCTCTCTCTCTCTCTCTCTCTCTCTCTCTCTCTCTCTCTCTCTCTCTCTCTATATATATATATATATATATATATATATATATATACACACACACATATATATACACATATATATATACACACATACACACACACACACACACACACACACACACATATATATATATATATATATATATACTTTAAGTTCTAGGGTACATATGCACAATGTGCAGGTTTGATACATAGGTATACATGTGCCATATTGGTTTGCTGCACCCATTAGGCTAAGAGTACAATTTTAAACTCTGCTTCTCCAGGGCCTCCTGAGTTCCCTTTGTTAATGTTGAGGTGAAGGATCAAACAAACATAGTCAGTGGCTTGAACAAACCCTTGGAAACAACATAAAAAGTATAAATCCCTACATCTGAGTTTCTCAAATTACTTTTATAGCGTTATCAGTTCTGAAGTAAATTACATCATCAATGTGTACTTTTTGCACAGCACATCCATCTCTCCAGGATAAAGATAACTCGTAGTAGTAGAGGTGGAATAAAAGAGTATTTTCTTTAGCATTTGTTTTCAGTACTTTGAAAACATTCCCTACTAAATCTGGACCTCATCAATTCTCTTCACTGTCCACCCCCTTCTCTCCTTACCATCCCACACTCTTCACCCCATAGGAAGGACCATCAGAATACCAACAATTGAGACAGCGTGCCTATCTATAACCCGTTTGTCATTCACTTGGGAGGTAGTTCTGTCTCTGACAGTTACAGCAAAGCCATTTTCACAAGCAAAAATGACTGTCACTATAGAAATATGGAGGTTCTTACCTAGATATTCTGAACCCATTTAGGATATGTGGAAGCAGGTACTAACCAGCAGGAACAGAAAGTTCACAGCGAGGGGCAGGGCTGCTCCAAACCCCATTCCCTTGAGGGTCACTTGTGCAGCGGATGGAGCTCTCCCCAATGAGGTTGAAGGTCATCCCTCTGTCTGGGTGGGTGTCGCATGCGTAAGATATTTCTTTTCCATAGGGAATATCTCCAAAGGGAGTTCCTGTGTGTCTCCCATTAAGGATAGCTGGAGGATTTGGACAAAAGATTTCTAGAAAGAAAACAAGAGCTTTAAGTTCTATTAGAATTTCACTTAAGATGACTGAAACAATAGTGACCTGTGACTGTGCGCTTAAAAAGAATATAACTTTTAGAAAGAATATAACTAAGGTAGACGGAATTTAAATCTGTAAGGCTTTTGTTGAGAGGCAACTAACTGAAGTGAGACCTAAATTACAGTTTATTGCAAAAGCCCAAAGACAGTGTTCCTGGACCACTCAGGTACCTATGTTCACAATGAATTTGGAAAGTAATTGTTTTTATTTTTTTTAAAAACACCCATTTGGTTGTCTACTTTAACTCAGGCATAGTAAGATTCCTGAGTTGACAATGAGGTTCAAGACAGACAAAGTTTTGGTCATCAGAGACCATAAGTTTCAAGGAAATCTATGAACTTTAATAAACATGAGCTATCATCTTTAGCAATGTAAATGTTTCTTGGTGATTCAAGACCATTACCATCAGGACCAATACCAAATTTCCAGTGGTGTCATCAGACACCAGTAAGGCTGTTTTTACTCAGATTAAATGGTGCCAAAGAGCCTTTTTTGATTTCTTCCAATTATTAGCCACCATTTCTTCCTCCTTTTAGTCTGCTTAGAACAGTTCCTTCCCTAAAAGCAATTGATGCTTCTAGTTTGATATGAATTTAGGAAGAGATACCCAAATTTATCAGAATTATGTGTATATAAAAGACCTAGTACATCAAACAATGATTGACTTCTCATGCTTGAATTTTACCTGTTTGTGTTTTCCTAAGTTTATTTATATATTTATTTTCAGCTCTATGTGTCTCTGTAAGGTTGAGTTTGTTGAATACTTGAGTTTCCTCAGGTATTGAATGTTCTTCACCATAATACTCACCATAAGGTATCCAAATTGATTTCTATAAGTTATTTTAACACAATACAAATTAAAATAAACATTTTCTAATAATCAGGAAAACAAGGTTTAAAAAATTCTTGCCTTGCTTTAGTAGACAGAATAGAATCAATCAGTAATGTCTTGGTATGTCAAACATGTACTTTTATCTAAGAGTTTCTGAATTTTTTCTGAATTTTGGCATATTTTATTTAAGCGGATGGTTTGGAAACTTAGGACACCTCATCATTTCAGACACTGATTCATCATCCCAGCTCCTTCCATCGTACTAATTTATCATATAACTCTGTTTTATTTTCTCCATAACATCCCTATTTAACTACCATTTTATATGTTATAATTTTTAGAATTTTGTTTACTTATTTATTTCCTTGTTCATAGTCTGCTTCCCAACAAGAAAATACATCCCAGGAAAGTAGGGAGGTGTCTTCACTATTCATTCACTATTCATTGCTTTTTCTACACATGGAAAGTCCTGGCACATGGGAAGCCCTATGTCATTAAATACTGCAGGCTAAAAAACAAGCTGACTAAATTGTTTATGATATGCGAGGGGATAAAAGAACATAAAAATTTGGCTGGGCATGGTGGCTCGCACTTGTAATCCTAACACTTTTGGAGGCCAAGGTGGGAGGATAGCTTGAGCCCAGGAGTTTGAGACCAGCTGGGGCAATATGGCGAGATTCTATCTCTACAAAAAGTACAAAAATTAGCCAGGTGTGGTGGCATGCACCTGTAGTCCCAACTACTGGGAGGCTGAGGTGCGAGGGTCATTTGAGCCCAGGAGGTTGAGGCTGCAGTGAGCTGTGATTGCACCACTCCACTCTGTCCTGGGTGACAGTGTCTCAGAAAATAAAAATAAAAATAAAAATTTAAGAAAGATTCCTCCTTGATAAGAAAACTAAAAATAAATGACTGACTAAAACGTGCTGCACCTTTATGTCATCTAGTTTCTTGCCACACATTCCCCACAAAATTAAACAGTCATTAAACTAAGTGATTTGCAGATTAGTAACAAAAACACATGTCAGAGAAGACCTACAAGACCCTTCTTGAAATTCTTCCAACAAAGAAGTATTTTTATCCATAATTTAGTTAAGTAAAGATCTAGACAACAGGTGATGCCATGCGGAAAAACATGCTGGAAAACGAAAATAAGGAGAGCTATCCAAACTACATAGTTCTTTCTACTCACGTTCACACACTGGAACACTGCTATTCCAAAGGGCTTTCATTCCAGCCAAGACACAATGACTAGCAGACCTGCCTTTTAATCGGAACCTAAAGAAAAAAAAAGTGGTAGCAAATGTGTGAGCAATTCCCATCTCTCCCTTGATTTCTTCGCTAATAGATGCTCAGCTTCCTCACTACCATTTCCTCCTCGACTATCATTTAGGTCTTAGGTTCAGGCCCAGCTAAAAGTCTTAGTTCATTAGGGATCTGAATTCTTCAGTAGCTGACAGAAACTCAAAGGCCAATTTATTCTAAAGAACCATGGTACCCTGTGACTGGCAAAGCAATTAGAGCTGATGTGCATAATTGCCATATAAACTTCATAGCCCAGCATCACCTACAGAAGGCATGAACACAGAACCATACTTCTCCATGGGCACAAGAGCCATAACCTTCAGGTGTCATCTTTCACTGATGGCTCTCTGACATCCCACTTATTCTCATTAGTGGGTCATGAGGCAGAACAGCTCTCGATTTGGTAAGCAAAGCCAGGAACATCTAGAAAGAGAACGGGCACTGTTCTTCTTGCTACTACAACTGTAACAGGCCAGAGGAGGCTCACAGAAGCATGCTGAACCACGTGCTCTAAGAAAAAAAGAAGGGAGGGGGGAAGAGTCTTTGCACCCCAAAATGCCCAACTTATTGAATCCTGCTTGCCTTCTGAAATCTGAAATCATTCTGAAATTGGAAATCATTATTAGGTGGTGGACTTTGTAAATGCCGAAGATTCTTTGGAAATCATTAAAAATAACTGCTTAATTGCCCAATCTAGTTATCCCTCCAGACTCATAGTGCACACCACCAAGAGTAATGGATACACATAAACAACTAATAATACCACTTGAAACTGATAGAAGCAGGAGGCAGACAAATCCTAGGCAGATGGGGCAGATCCCGGTGAAACCCGACCTTCAAGCTGAAGACAGTTTAAAGCCTAGCTACAAGTTCCAGGTAAATCCATGGACTGGTTTGAGAACCTCTCTTCCCATTTGGTGTGCTTTCCTCTGATTGATCCTCACTGTTCATTTAGTTTACATATACCTGAGCTTCCCTAATTGGTTTTTTACACTGTTGTGCCCACCTTTGAGTGGTGTCTTTGTTTTAGTCTTTTTTGCATAGTCACAAACCAATCAGCACAGGCTCCCCATTCTGTGTCCATAAAAGCCCCAGAACCAGCCACGCTGAGAGAGAGAATGACCCCCTGACTTCATCTGGGGTCCACCCTCGTGTCTCGTCTCCGCTGAGAAGCTGTTTTGTCACTCAATAAAACTCTTCTCCACCCTCCTCACCCTTCTATTGTCAGTATAACCTTGTTCTTCTTGGATGCGGGACAACAACTCAGGACCCACCAAACGCAGGTACAAAGAAGCCTGTAACACTGTGGCCCTCCGCCCTCTGCTGTGGGAGGGCAGCTGTACCACGCGAAAGGAAGCAGCAGCGGATCAAGCCAGAGCTGGGCGACAGGAGATGTGGGGCGACAGGATTGACAGAGCTGTTAAGCACACTGTCATCTGTTGGGCTGCAGGCATTATCAAATGCTAAGAGCCATTAGTGTGCTGTAACACCTCCTCTGGGCTTTGGGGTCATGGGCACCCCTGTTTGGGCACCACCACGTTCCCTTCAGTGCGACATGCCTGGTCCAGCCGCCAGCACTGCTCAGAGCCCATTCCTGTGCAGGTGCTTGGAGTGGCCAGCTGGACCCCACACTCACTCACTCACACATCCCCTCCCACCAGGGGCTGAGTGTGCAGTCATGGTGGCCCCAGGGTCCCAGTCAGAGCACCAGCCAGACGCCGCCCAGTGGGCTAAGTATCTGGGGTGTTTCCTGCGGTGAGCCTGGGCCCAAGCAAGGCCTGGGCAGGGGCATTGCTGTCCAGAAGTCACTGGCTGGCAAAGTGGCTGAGAAAAATCCTGCATTAAAAGAATTACACTGGCCATTCCTGACCTGAAGATATATTATTGGGTTAAAACACACTTATCCATGCACTATTACAGATTCCACTATTGATTGGTTTTAAGTTTCTTAAGACAACCTCTACCTTACTTCTTATGGGGCAAACAATTTTTGTCTTATTCATCATTTATTTTCTAGCATACCTCTTATAAAATTATGTTCTTTTGCCTCCAAATAAATACGTACCCATTCATTTCAAGTTCCAACTGTGTACTCAAGATCAGTGACTGTATTTAGGTTTGTACCTGACATTGAGCTGTATGTGCCATTTTCTCATTGCCTTCTGAAAGTGGTGCCACTTAGTCCCTACCCTTATTTCAAAACTACCCTTCCATAAATTAATCTCTCTGGGTACTTCTTATCTACTAGGTCAGCTCCTTAATTGGATTAACCCCTGATCTCAAGAGAGTGATTCTCCACACTGAGTCCTTGGTCTCAACGCTGGGTCACACTCACCCTTCATCGCAAACAAAGGACACCTTTGCCCCAAGCTGGAGATTAAGTGGAAGTAGCACACGGCCATGAGGGAGTTGGCCCAGGAAGTCATCACAGGATTTCACTAGAAGAAAAAATAAAACAACAGGAGTAAGTCCTCCATGTGAAGGGGAAAACAGAGCAATCTGGAAGCCAGAGAGTCAAGGCACCTGTACATCTAGGGGCTTCAGGGCTCCAGTCTCCCTGGGGCGTGCAGTGCAGAGACGCAGCCCCTCTGAGGTCATAGCTGGGCTCACAGCTGTAGAACACTTCCTGCCCAGGTGAAAAGTTGTCCTGATGGCTTAGGGTATGCTCACCATGCAGGATTTCTGGAGGCGGCTGACACACTGTGGAAAGGACAGTTCCAGAGCACTTGTTAGATATGGGGCAATTTCCTTTGTTATATCTTATGCTTACCAGAGGGCTTAAAAATCGTCATTGCAGAGTGCAGCTATTAAAAGAGAAGATTGGTAGTTCAGTAGCCACATCTCACTAACAAGGAAGCTAAGGAAACCAAGCAGAACTGTGACTAGAATCAAAGTCTCTCCAACACCTTGTCTGTGTTTTTTCTACTGAAACATGTTCCAAAGACTATAAGGCAGCATATTCCTCTTGCTTTCAACTACTGGTTATGGAGCACAGAGTCGTGAGTGCGGGTGGTTTGGCCACTCTTCCACTTCCTACAGAGGCAGTCCCTCAAGCTCATGCGTAAGGCAACAGCAAGGAGTACTGTTGCCAAGGTCTCATCTAACAGACACCTTCACGTATTCTTCATTTTCCACACTCCCTGACCCTCTTTCAGTCAGCACAGGGCTGAACTGTTAGCTTCCTTTCTGTCCCTGTGACCAGTCCTAATTCTTCCCACTCCATGTTTTAAGCCAGTCATTTCAGCTAAGAAAAGAGGAGGCATCAAGAACAAAATCGTGGGGATAGGGGGTGAGGGTAGGGAGGGGAGGTGGGGACAGTTAATGGGTACAAAAAAAAAAAGAAAGAATGAATAAGATGTAGTATTTGATAGCATGACAGGGTGACTATAGTTAGTAATAACTTAATTGTACATTTAAAAATGAAAGAGTGTAATTGGATTATTTGTAACACAAAGGATAAATGCTTAAGGGCATGGATACCTCATTCTCCATGATTATTTTACATTGCATGCCTGTATCAAAACATTTCATATACCCATAAATATATACACCTACTATGTACCCACAAAAATTAAAGATTAATAAATTAAAAATAAACAAAAAGAACAACCCCCCCTCAAAGAAAAAAAAGCTACAGACTTTTTAGTGATAGAACATATTGCTTAGACCGTATTTTAACCGAAATGTTGGCTGCCTCCATCCACAGGACAATTGGTGTGTTCTCAGGGCATCAGAATGCATTTGAAACTAGGCATGGTGGCTCAGGCCTGAAATCCCAGTACTTTGGGAGGCTGAGGCAGGAGGATTGCTTGAGGACGGGAGCTCAAGATCAGCCTGGGCAACATAGCAAGACTCTGTCTCTAAAAATAAATAAAAATTAGCCAGGTGTGGTAGTGAGCACCTGGAGTTCCAGCTACCTGTGAGACTGAGGCAGAGGTCTTACTTGAGCCCAGGAGTTAGAGGCTTCAGTGAACTATGATTGTACAACTGTACTCCAGCCTGGGCAACAGAGCGAGACCTTCTCTCAAACAAACATACAAACAAACAAACAATCAAAAAACCTCAAAGAATGAATTTGAGCCTCAATCTGAACAATATATAATTATATATCAAGTATATATGTGTGTGTGTGTATATACATATATATATATTTGTTTGGATTTGAGCAAAACACTTTTTCTGAGCTTCAGTCTTTTCAATTATAATGAGAAAAAGTTGAAGTTGAAGTCCAAGGCCTTTTTGATTTGATGCTCTCATTTTGGTCCTCATGGCTCACTTGCCTACTGCCCCACTCCAGGGATAGAGATACGATCATCACTATTACACATTATTGTTCATGATACATTCCACTGTACATTATGATTAGGCTCTGGAGTCAGAGCCTTGGAAAAGTTCTTTAATATCACTAAGACTCAGTTCTCTCAAAGTAAAATGGGGATACCAATAGTAGCTACTTCATATATTTGCTGTAAATGTTAAATTCAAAAATGCATCTAAAATATGTCTACTATAGATGAGAGAATAAGCCATTACTTTGAGACAATTATTAACAGAGATAACAGACAGTGAAGCTACTATTATGTTTATGCCAATTTCATAGTCCTTATACACTTCTTCCTTAATTTCAACAACTCCTATCATCTATACGTACCCTCACACCCAGCAAAGTCTTGATGGGTCACACTCACCCCTGGAGCAGTGTGGCAGCTTGGGCCCCCATCTGCCATTGGTCTGGCACTGCACAGTGTGGGACCCTACCATGACAAACCCGGGCTGACATCTAAATCTGATGATCTCAGTGAGGGTAAAGAAACTCCTGTTTCCTGGTACTCTAATTGCATTTTCAACTTCTGGAGCTGTGCATTTATTAGTAGAAATACACCGAGGGGGAGGGCTGCTCCAAACACCAACTTGATCATCTTTGCTGGTGCAATATATTGACCGTTCTCCCACAAGCTCAAACAGCTGTTCTCCATCTGGTCCAGTGTGGCACTGGTAAGTTACCACCGTTCCATTGTGAAAAGATGTTCTATTGTTGCTGTAGAAGTCTCCATTGGATATGGTTGGAGGTGGCTCACAAGATATGACTGAGAGAAGGAAGAGTATGGTAAAACAGCTTATTTTTTAATAATGAATTATTTTACTATGAATTTAAATACCAAATGCAAATAATCCAATGATTTTCTAAATGGAATTACAATACTGTTATTTTCTTAAAATATTTGCTAATAATCAGACATTTTTACCTAGTTGAAATTTAGGTGTGTATGATATGGGTTCTGCTCATATTTCACAAAAAAAATCCATGTTTTTTTGGGTTTATATATTTATAATTTTAAGTGGATAATACATGTGATTTTATCACAGATTGTTAAGGTACTTATCTATTGCTGGACTATTTTTTCCTATAGGTTATTAAAATAACCTCTTTGCAGTTTAAATATACCACTTCTGGCATTATTTATGAAGAAAAAGAGAGAAAAGGAAACACAAAAGATAAGGCATGAGAAATGAAATAATGGCAGATTTAAGGGCAATAAAATGATAAATGAATACTGTGTTCTATCATAAGATAATAATATTCACATATTGGCTAAGTGACTACACACATATACACACATAACCAGTATTGACTCAATTAAATGATCACTGACCTATAAATGTAGAAGTGGAAATTTTTTTATAAAAGATAACCCCCTACAAAAGGTGCCATGCCTTGAAAACTTTGTATAGTAAACTGATAATTCTTTGATAATTTGAATTATTTCATAGAATTTCAAGTTCTTGGCAGATATGGGAGGCACCTTGTATACATTCTCATTCATTTAATGTTTAAAAGTCAATGTTAATTTGGGGGGGAAGAATATTAGTGACTACAATGAACACATTCATTGTAGGAAATTTATAAAATATGGACAAAGAGAAAGAAGAAAGTGAAAATGGTTCAAAGATAACTATTTGTAACAATTTAATTATATCCTCTTAGATACATATGTGGATACATGCATATGTATGGATGGATATATTTTCTATACTACCATATTTGGTGGCTGAATAATAATCAGTCATGTAGCTACATAGATGTACTTTTTCCACTTGGATGAGGCATCTCAACCTTTAATTCCTCCTGGTGCACTTTTTTACCTTTCCGAAAAACTGATAGCCATTAAAATATGCCTTATTTCTTCTACTAGCTATTTTCAAACCATGCTGAACATTTAGGTTGTTTAACATTTTCCACTATCACAAATATTATTGCATTGAGTATCTCTGGACCAAAATCATGGGACTATTTCATGATTATTTTCTTGGGCTAAATTCTGGGAAATGGAATTGTCAGTCAGAGGGTATTTACTTTACTTTTGTTTATATTGGTCATTAGCTTTCTGGAAGTCTGTGCCTACTTTTGCTGCCATCAACTCTGTGTGCGATGACGACTTCTTCACAGCTATAACACTTTGCCAATTTGCAATCATTCTTCCATGGTTTTAAAGTTTTGGAGATTCATTGAAAAATATCTTATGGGAAAAATGGAGGGTCAGCTAATCGAGAACAAATACAACTGAAGACATGGGCCTAAAAGAATTGAAGGAGGATTAGAACTCAAAATGATCAGAGGCTTAGGAAAATTGCTAAGAACTGGAAGAAGAGTTCTTTTTATTATTTGGATTAGAATAACAAGAAAGTGAGTAGCCTACTTTGTGGAATTGTAACCTGATAGATAGTAAGAGTTGGCAAAGACAGATCTAATTTTGTCTAACGCCTTTAAAATGTACTCATTAAGGACAACACTCTCTATACTGGAAATATTTACTATTATAATGGGAAAGTAGGGTATTTTGCCTAGGTTCAAGCCCACAGTTTCAGATAAATCACCTTTTAAGATAAAGAAAAGCCAGGAAGACCATGAAGCATCTGACTCCTATTTTCAAATATCTGAGAGACTACTTTGTGCAAGAAGGATTCAATTTATTCTTTGTACTCCAGGGGCAAGTCAGGATCACACAGAGGAATTTGTGGAGAAAAGTATTTCAACTTACTCTCACAAATAGGTGCCTTCTTATCCCATGTGACATTATTGCCTGAGACGAGACAAGTAGTAGATGGGGAACCAATGAGTCGAAACCTAAAGCAAAGGATAGAAAATGGTTATACGCTACACATATTTCCCATTTAACTCACCATTTAGAAAATAATAGCAGGTAGACATTAGACATTACAGGACAGATTACACCATGGCAGACCTCGGAAGGAAGAAACCCCATCTCCATCTGCAAATTAGTCCTTTCTTTTTGAGGACAAGCTTACATTTTGACCTCTCCAATTCATTTTTATTCCTAATCCCTCACAACTGAATGAGATATTTCCCTTTTTCTTTGCAGGACATTTTTGTACTTAAGTCTTTCAGAAACCTTGCAGTTATTTTATCCATGTGTACTTCCAGCAAGGAAATGACAAGCTCCTGGATTAAGCAGGGAAAATATCTTACTGAAATATTTAACACTATAGCACCTAGCTTAGAGACTTTCAAGTTTTGGGTGCTCAGATAGTCTCTTGTATAAAAGAAAGAACAATGGATTTACCCAGAAGAGTCAGTAAATGAGAGCCAGAAGAGACAGCTAAACACCCCTACACTTGAAATGTAAAGGGTAGGGATACTCACCCACTTTACCTTAAAGCCATCCAGAGTAGGCCACAAAACGTAGAACATTTTGTCTTTTAAAAAATTTATTAGGTATCCATAATGTTACTGTGAGCAACGTCACAAAGAATGCTGAGCAAAGCTATTCATGTGTTCTGGTGTACAGCAGGCCTAAACTTGACCAAGTAAAAATTAAAGGGTAAAATGGAATGCCATATAATGATGAGGCAGTAACTGCAACAGTTAAGAACTTTTCCTCTTGATTATGTAAGAAATGTGATCAGGGCAGTAACCATTTGTAGCAAAGACTACTGGTGCCATCCCTAGTATCCACTTTCCTCTCCTTCATTAGTAATGGAACCCTCTATTTTTAACTGGGCCATTGGCCACCTGCAATAAAGGTTTCACTTCTCACCTTTCCTTACAGCCGGGCATAGCCATGTTACTAACTTCTGGCCAGAGGATGTAAGTGGAGTGTCTTGTGCAACTTCTGGAAAGTGTCTTTAAAGGAATTGGCCTTCCCTTCTTCCCTGTGTCCTCTATACTGGCTGGAGTTTAGACCATGAGATAAGATGGGCTCTCATTTTGAAGAGGTCAGAGTAGCAAAGTGGAAGGAACCCAGGTTTCTGTGGATTATGGAGTCATCGTATAAACCCTGGACTGCCTACTTTCGTGATTTTTAACCTGAGACAGAAGTAAACTACTATCTATGTTTGAGATCCTGTTATTTTATTTCTTCTGTCTTTTACAGCTGGAAATCCTAACTGATATACCAGCTCTTCCCGAAACAGTGACAGAAAGCTAAAGGGAACTGTGTGACTATGGCAATGACCGTCAATGTTTTTGTAGACACAGTGAGTCTCTTTTACGTTTTAGGTACTGATTGAATTTTACTTATTGCTAGCCTGTTTAGGCTATGGTATACAATCTTTTCAAGTGTGCCAAGAAAAAAAATCTTAAAAATTGCTGCAATTAAACAAGTTGAGAACCACTGGAGAAAGGAAAGAAAAGGATAATCCCATTATTACCTGTGTTTTCCTCTGCCTGTCTCCTATCATACATTTAAAAGTTGTCTAAGAGCACAGGATCATGGGAGTCCTCTGACTTTTGGCCTCCTAGAGGTTGTTTTAGATGTGCTCGCTGTGACTAAGCTAGATTGTTGGAGCCAAAATGTGAAGAAGGTTCCAGCCTATGTATGGCTGAAAAAAACACAGTGAATATTTTTTAAAATCTGATTTTATTTTTATGAACAAACAATAATTGTATATATTTATAGGGTAAAATGTGGTGTTTTGATATATGTTTCTGTTGCAAATGATTAAATTAAGCTAATTAACATGTCCGTCACCTCTCATATTTGTTTTGTGTGTGTGTGTGTGTGTGTGTGTGTGTGTGTGGTGAGAATATTTAAAATCTACTCTTCTAGCAATTTTTTTTCCCTTTCTTTTTCTTTTCTTTCTTTCTTTTTTTTTTTTTTGACAGGGTCTGGATCTATCACCCAGGCTGGAGTGCAGTGATGTGATCTTGGCTTACTGCAACCTCTGCCTCCCAGGTTCAAACCATTCTCCCACCTTAGCCTCCCGAGTAGCTGGGACTACAGGTATGCGCTGCCATGCCTGGCTAATTTTTGTATTTATTGGTAGAGACAGGGTTTTGCCATTTTGCCCAGCCTAGTTTCTAACTTCTAGGCTTAAGCAATTCGTATGCCTCAGCCTCCCAAAGAGCTATAGGCATGAGACACTGTGCCCGGCCAGCAATTTGGAAATACACATTATTATTAACTATAGTCACCATGCTGTGGAATAGATCTCTGAAACTTACTCCTCCTGTCTAACTGAAACCCTGCGCCCTTTGACCAAATCTCAGCTCCCCACCTCTCAGTGCCTGGTAACCACCTTTCTACTCTCTACTTCTATGAGTTCAACTGTTTTAGATTTCACATGGAAGTAAGATCATGTGGCATTAGTTTTTCTGTGCCTAGCTTATTTTGGAAGGTATTTTAAGGCACAAAAACAGAAGGGATGTTAAAATGCATTTAAAATGTAAAATAATTGAAATGATGCAGGAATAGAGACACAGATCCCTAGAGCAAAATGGGGGAAAGCCCAAGAAATAGATACAAGTTTTTGTAAGAAATTGGCAGTGATAAAGATGGCATTTCAAGACACGGAAAACTGAATTATTCATTGATAGGGCAAATATCTGAAAAGCTAAGCTAGATCTCTGCCTCATGACATTCATCAAAGCAAAATCCGTGTGTATCAAAGATTAAATGTCAAAAATAAAACCATAAAAGAACTAGGTGATTTAGGCAAACGTGTTTCTGATTTGAGGCTTCTATAGACATACATTGAGGAAAAATTCTACTATGAACAAAACTGATAAAACTGAATAATTACAAATAAACCTTTCTACATACAAATTTGAAGACAAACCACAGAGGAAAAATAATAAAAACAACTCTTATACATCAATTATAAAAAGGCAAACACCCAAGTAGAAAAATGGTAAAGAATTATGAACAAATAATTTACAAACGAAAAATGGAAATAGTCAAATGAACATATGAAAAGTTTAGCTTCCTTATAAACATGATAAATACACTTTAAAATGCAAATAAAATGCCGTTTTTGCCCATTAGATTGGCAAATTGACAAAACCTAGCAGTAATATAAACTCAAAGAAAGAGTCACTGTTGTGACTCACTCCGTAGGTCATGGTCAAAGTTTAGTGGAGGGCACTTTGGCAATATGTACTGAAAGGCTTAAAATCGTGCATAGCCTTTCACTCAAATCTGCAAATCTTGTCTCTTGTGTACATGTGAAGATCTGAATCCTTAAGCTGTCTTTGAAGTTAGTGAAGTCCTCATCTCATTTCTTTTCACGTGTGCAGGATCGTGCATTGTAGTGTTTTTGCTAACAGTTGAAATGCGAAACCACTTTAATTCCAGACATTAAGGACTTTGTTAGGTAGGTTATGGACTATCCAAGTAATAACCAAAATGCAACCACTAAAAATGGTGTTGTAGAGTAATATATAATAATTAGAATAATTATACAATATAGTTCGTAAGTATTAAAGAGGGCTATAAAACCATGTACAGTGTAGTCGTTTGGCTTAAAATATATCTATATATAAAGATTTAAAGCTGTTAAAATCTTACTCATCTTTTCAGGAAAGGAAGTGCATTTGTTTGAGAAACTACTTGGAGAAAAAGTGGGGACTATATGCAGACAGAACAATTCTGTTAAGTACAGAAGTAAGATATTTATGATTCCAGACAGGGAGTCCTAGGGAAAGAGCCTAGGCTTCAATAAAAGAATTTTACAGACGTGGGACATCAGGTCAGGAAAAATTACAACATAATTACACTACAACATATTTGTGCCTTAAAATACCTTCCAAAATAAGCTAGGGACAGAAGAACTAATACCGCATGATCTTTCTTACATGTGAAATCTAAAATAGTTGAACTCGTAGAAGTAGAGAGTAGAAAGGTGGTTACCAGACACTGAGAGGTGGGTATCAAACCCACCTCTGATCTGGTATCAAACACCCTTCTTGTTATTATCTCAGAATATTCTGTTGGTGGGTCTCATGACATTTACAGACATCTTGTCAAATTAAAAAAAAGAATGTCATTGAAACTGATTACATTAAATTTGCATACTAATTCAGGGATAATTAACATCACCACAACATTAAATCTTTTAAATAAAATATTATATCTTCCATTTCTTGAAGTATTTTTCTATGTCCCCCTCTTTTAAATCTTCTGCTTATAAGTCCTATATATTTCCTGTTAAATTTCTTTCTAGATGATTTTGTTTCTGTTGTGAATGGTATTTTTCCTCCTTATATTCTATTTGGTTGTTACCTACATAAAGAAAGTAATTAATTTATAAGTATTTATTTTTTACTCGATATCTCACTACCATTTCCTATTCTAATAACCTTTCAAATAATTCCTTCGGGTTTTCAGGTAAACAACCATCAGTTAATAATAAATTTGCCTTCTCTCTCTCTCTATCTATATCTATATGTATATCTCTCTAAATACAGGGGGCTGTCATTTTACTGGTTTGAATTTCCACAACTACTTTGAATAATAGGAAGGATGCCGAGTGTTCTTTTCCTTTGAACTTTAATTATATTCAAGCATGCTTTTAGATTTTAACCATTCATTGTGTTTTTTGGCATTAGAGAGTATATTTATATGACATTTAAGAAAAGTTGTACTCTTTAATATTGTAAGTTTGTGGGTTTCCTAATTTGGAACCATTTCTGGAATAACCTTACTTGTTCCCCTTGCATAATTCTTTTAATATTGGTTTTATTTAATAGTCAATTTAAGATTTTTAGTATTTATATTAGCAAATGAGCCAGAGATATATTTTATTTTATTTTCATTTGTAATCTTTGGCAAACTTTAATTATGGCTATAATTTTATTTCTATGTTCCATAACAGTTTAAATAATATTAATACTTGGATTATCTATTTCTTGAAGTTAAAAAAGAGTTACAAAACTGGGCCATTGTCTTTTTTTAAAGGTGCTTCTTTGTGGTGGTTTTAAATATGTCCACAAATTATTTTATACATGTCCCTTCAAGTGATGGAGCCCAATTCCTCTCTTTTTGAATGTGGGCTGTGCTTTGTGACTTGATTCTAATGATTAGAATAAAGTGGAAATGATATAGTGTGCAACTTCAGAGGCTAACCACAAAAAGCACTGCAATGTTTTCTTCTCTTTTTGAGATGCTCATTCTGGGAGAGGCCAGCTGTCCTTTGGAGAAGCCCATGTAGTGAGGAACTGAAGTGTCCTGCAGTCCAAGTCAAGAACAAAAGATACCACCAAGAGATTAAAAAGACAACCCACAGAATGATAGAAAATATGTGAAAACCCTATCTGATAAGGATTTAATACTTAGAACATATAAAGGACTCCTGTAACTCAATAACAATGAAACAAACAACCCAATTACGAAATGGACAAAGGATGAGAATAGACATTTTTCCAAAAAAGACATACAAATGGCCAATAAACACAAGAAAAGATGCTCCACATCATTAGTCATTAGGAAAATGTAAATCAAACTGACTTCAGCCCCTTTTAGGGTGGTATAATAATAATTTTTTTTAAACCAGAAAAATGACAAGTGTTGGTGAGGATGTAGAGAAATTGGAACATTTGTGCATTGCTGATGGGGATGTAAAATGGTACAGCAGCTGTGGAAAATAGTCTGGCAATTCTTTGAAAAGTTAAACAGAATTACCATATCCCCCAGGAATTCCACTTCTGGGTATATACCTAAAAGAATTGAAAATATGGACTCAAACAGATATGGGTTTATCAGCAATTCTGCCTATTTTAAACTACACCTGGTAAATTGTATTTTTCTTCTGACATGGTACATTTCATGGATAGTTTTAATTTTATTAGAATAGAGAAGATATAATATTTTTATCAAGTATTAAATCTCTTCAATATCAACAGGCTTATGTCTTCTTTCTCATTCTTGTATATTTATAGAATTGTTATTTTGTGAAATGACAATTGACCCAGTCTGTTTGTTTTATAATTGGTCACTTTAAAGAATCTGCTTTTAGATTTCTTTATAATTTCTATGATTTTTTCTTTGTTCATTACTTTATTAATTCCTTACTCCAGCAGCCTTTTATATATGTTTTTAATAATTTAAAAATTGTTAAGAAATGTTTTGTTCATTTATTTGAATTTTTTCCTGTCAAGTAACAAAAAGGATTGAAAAATTTCTCTGAGGACAGTTTTGGCATCAGCACCCCAGAAATTTTTATGAGTAATATATGTTTCAGCATTCCTAATTAAGAAGATAAATAATGTAAGGCTTACCATTACAGGTTGTTGAAGCTGACTGGCGATATTCTAATTCTAACCTCAACCTGTCACATGAATTTGGACAAATTAGTTAACCTGTCTGTCTCAGTTTTCTCTTCTATACAATGAGGGATATGCATGATATCCATTTCAAAGGGTCTTTTAAAGACTAAGTAAATCAATTCAAGTAAAGGACTTAGAAGAATGCTTGAGGCACATGCACTTGAGGATCATTAGCGATTGTTATTCTCCAGGTAATCTGCAATGGCTGTTTTTAAATTTCTCTTTGATCAAGATCTAAGGTACTCCGTTTTCTAAAACTTTGAATTTTTAATGTATCATTTGCTTATTAATTCCTAGTTTTTGGTGTATTGCGATGAGAAAATATACCCATTTTGATTTCTTCTATGTGCAAATTTATTGAGGTATACTCTGTGGAGTTATATCACTTTTATAAATGGTTTTTATAACTGTGATAAAGGTTTCAAAGTTGAACACACAAGAATCAAAGCAGCCTTATTCCTCAACATGTGATTATTTGTTCACTTATTTGCCCAATCTGAAGTTTTCAACTATTATTATTTTGCCAATTTGTATTTTTATTTATTTTAGAAAATTCTCTGACTTTGCATAATGACAAGAATTGAAGAAAAATAATGCTCTCAATCCCTTCATCTAACCGGAGATTGTCACCCTATGGCTCACAGGCCAAATTTGTTCTATAGCACGTATTTGTAAATGAAGTTTTATCAAAATACAATCACACATTCATTTGTCTAGGGCTATTTTTCCACTGCAATGGCAGAACTGAGTAATTGCAATAGAGATTGCATGGTCTGCAAAATTGAAAATTTTGCTATCTGGCTCTTGACAAAAAATTTTGCCGTCTCTTGCTCAAAACAATCTATGTTTCATTTGTCCAGGTTAACATCTACTCCTTAGTTATATGCTTAAGTTGCACTTGTTTTCAGAAATTTAACAACGTAATTGTATAACCTATATATTCACTTAGTATACCATGTATATTTTGTCACTCCCACCTCCATCTCAGGTGGTCCTGATTTTTCCAAACCCAATCAAACACACATATGTGTATAGGATATCTCCTCCAAATTTGTCATTATTTTTCCAAATTGAGAACAAACTCTATATGCTTTTCTGCAAATTATTTTTTTCTGTTGACATCACAACATGGTCACCCATTCAAATCACTAAACAGAGATCTAATTAAGTCTTCTTGATTGCTGCAAAATAGTTCATAGTAGACGTCTTATGATTTATTCAACCTACTGCTAATAGAAGGATGTCAAGGTTGTTTGCTCTTTTTGCTTATATAAACAATACTGCAATAAAGAACCTATTGTAATTAATACTCCTTTTCCTAGGAGTGGGATTAGTAGCTAAGAAGATATCTATGCTTTCATTGTTTGTGGATAGTGTAAGATTTTTTTTTGAAAGCTGCAGCAATTCACATTCCAATGAACCACTATGAGAGGGCTCCTTTTCCTCAAATTCCTATTTACCTCTACTTCCGTCTTTTAAACTTTTATTAATGTGACTGTGAAAACATGACATATTGTTGCTTTAATTTGCATTTCCCCAAACCATAGTGAAGTTGAGCTTTTTTGCTTAAATATTTATTTTAGCAATTTTTAAGGCCATTTTTATGTTTCCTTTTGTGAATTGCCTGTGCATATTCTTTCCTCATTTTTATATCGGGTTGTCTATTGCTTATCTACTGTTGTATGCTCTTAACTTTCTCTCGGTTTTACCTAATACAAATTTCCCTGCAGTCTATTTTCTGTTAACATACGGTGTATTTTTGCATACTAGAATTTTAATTCTCCCGTATGTCACTCTGTTGATACATAGATCTAATGGCCAATCTGGTTGGGATGGTGACCATCCTCTTTCTCCCTGAGCACTCCTTTCCTGGCCAGCCAGATGATCCAAGTTAATGCTGGCCAACTCCAAGATGCTGTGTATTTGGTCAGAGAAGACCTCCTTTCCAGTGGTGGGAGACAGTTCTTTAGGTAAGAGTACATGTGTTACAGAGCTCTGTCTTTGAAACAGCTGAATGAGCTCTTCTATATATCAGTATTTGTTTTATGTATTTCAATACGTTAGTTAGCGCTCTCTTGTTCAAAAGTTCTTGTCTTCAGGCCAGGCGCGGTGGCTCCCACCTGTAATCCCAGCACTTTGGGAGGCCGAGGCAGGCAGATCACGAGGTCAAGAGATCAAGACCATCCTGGCCAACATGGTGAAACCCTGTCTCTACTATAAATACAGAAATGAGCTCAGCGTGGTGGCGCATGCCTGTAGTCCCAGCTACTCGGCAGGCTGAGGCAGGATAATGGCTTGAACCCTGGAGGCGGAGGTTGCAGTGAACCGAGATAGTGCCACTGCACTCCAGCCTGGTGACAGAGCGAGACTCCATCTCAAAAGAAAAAAAAAAAAGTTCTTGTCTTTATTGTGCACTGGACCAAGTATCAATATCTTAAACAAAATTTTTAAATCTTATTTGATATGTTTTAAATTCTTATTTTTCTTATACTGTTATCTGTTTTTTTCTTTCCTAATATCACATGATATATTTAAAAATTTTTTTCTTTCTTATTGTTTTAAAAGAGATACAACATAAAATTTGCCATTAAAACCATTTTAAGGGTATAATTCAGTGGCATCAATGACATTCACAACATTATACAACCATTATCACTGCTTAGTTCCAAAAATTTTCACCATCCCAATGAGAAACTGGATGTATTGAGTTGTAACTCCCTATTCTCTCCTTCCACTGGTTATCTCTAATCTATTTTTAGTCCAATAAATTTTCTTATTTTTGGCACCTCATAAAAGTGGAATACAGTATTTATCCTTTTGTGTCTGGCTCATTTCACTTAGCATAATGTTTTTAAAGTTTATGCATCTTGTAGCATGTATCAGAACTCTATTCCTTTGTATAGCTGAAGAATATTCCATGGAATGGATAAGCTCCATTTCATTTATCCATTCATCTGCTCGTAGATACTTGGGTTGTTTCTACCTTTTGGCTATTTTGAACAAAGCTGCTACGGACATTGGTATTTGAGCATCTGCTTCAGTCCTTGTTTTCAATTTCTTTAGGTATATGCCTAGGAGCAGAATTGCTGGTTATATGGTAATTCTATGTTTAACTTTTTCAGGAATCATCAAACTGTTTTCCACAGTGCTACACCATTTTACATTTCCACCAGCAATGTATAAGCGTTCTAATTTCTCCACATCCTCGCCAACACCTTTTATTTCCTATTTTTTAAAAATATTATAACCATCCTAATACAAAACATCCTAGTACAAAGTCAGGTTGACTTGCACTTCCCTAATGACTAATGATGTTGAACATCTTTTGATGTGTTTATTGGGCATTTGTATATTTCCCTTGGAGACATGTCTATCACATCATTTGCTCATTTTCAGTTACTGAGTTTTCAGTGCACAGGTCTTGTGCCTCCTTGATTAAATTGATTCCTAAGTATTTTATTCTTTTTGGTGCTACTGTAAATAGGATTCTGACCATATTTAGAAGCCTTTGTCTTTCAAAAGGGGGGATTGGAATCATTCACATTTACTATTATAACTGATGAGTTTGATCTTATAGTGTTCTTTCCTTTTTATTTATTTAACAATTCTATGGGTTGGAACTCAGCACTGTACAAAACAAACTCCATTCTTGCTCTGCTAAATGGAGTTTGTTTTTTTTTTTGTAATACATAGTAGTATATTTTGTAATATAAAATATGTTATATTTAAATATTGTATATCATGTAAATAAAATTTATATCAATATTTTTATTGATATAAAATAATAGATTTTATCACTACAACTAGGAAGTTAGGAATGAAGTAAGAAAAACTATGATAAACTTATACTATGTAGGGGATACATATTCTTGATGTAAAAAATAAAGAGAAAATAGTACTTTACACCAGTATAAAATCAAAATATGTTAAAAATCAGATTTATATAATATTTTATATCAAATTTATATCATATTTATTATTTTTATAATATATATGAATTTTATGTTATATTATATATATATTATATATATACTTATGAAACCTTCCCCCTGTGCTTTGTACCGTACTTGCAATAGCCTTTTCCTATCTTTGCTTGAACATCATCAAGCCCTAGTTCTTAAACTTTTTTGGTCTCAAGAATTCTTTTCACTCTTAAACATTTTTGTTATTGTTATTGTTATTATTATTATTATTATTTTTTGAGACAGAGTTTCGCTCTTGTTGCCCAGGCTGGGGTGCAGTGGCACCATCTCGGCTCACTGCAACCTCCGCCTCCCGGGTTCAAGTGATTCTCCTGCCTCAGCCTCCCGAGTAGCTGGGATTACAGGCATGCGCCACCACACCTGGCTAATTTTGTATTTTTTAGTAGAGACAGGGTTTCTCCATGTTGGCCAGGCTGGTCTTGAACTCCCGACCTCAGGTGTTCTGCCCGCCTCAGCCTCCCAAAGTGCTGGGATTACAGGCATGAGCCACAGCGCCCGGCCACTTTAAGAAGTATTAAGGACCTCAAAGTGATTTTACCAATGGAGTTTATATCTGTTAATATTTATTATATTAGAAAGAAAAACTGAGGCATTAAAATACATGTATTAATTCACTTTAACGTAATAATGCTAGTTTCCCAAAAGAGAGACAGAAAGCTTGCTAGCTCTTGTTTCTCTCACCCCTCTTTTGTTTTATGGACCAAGTGGTTTCGCCCTTCTGATTATCTTTTAAAATTTGATTATATATATATATATAGATATAGATATAGATATATATAGATATAGATATATAGATTTTATACTGGTGTGAAGTACCATTTTCTCCTTATTTTTTATGTCAAGAATATGTGTCCCCTACATATGATAAGTTTATGATGGTTTTTCTTACTTCATCTCTAACTTCCTAGCTGAAGTGATAAAATCTATTTTTTATATCAAGTTTCTTCTTCTTTTCATATTACATGAATTATCTTTCAAGAATTAGTCCTGCTTTGATATTTTATTTCCATATTAAATAAAACAGTTTTAGTGACCCCATTTAACTAGTTTTGTGCCTCATTAATATTTCTTTGATACAACACCATTTGGAATTTTGATTTCTTCTTCAAAAAGAAAAACTCCCACAGCTTTGTGGGAGTTTTTCTTTTTGTAGGCAGTATATCTAACTGGTGTATGTTTGGGGTTCCTTCTTATTTAAGACGATGCATCTGTGCCTTGCAGATGAATGGCAGCTTGGCCGAGTACAGAAATTTTATTGTACAATATTTCCTCTCAAACACTAACTTCTACTACTTAGTGTTACAGAACGGAAGCTTGGTGCTAAGATGAATTTCTTCTTTTTTGTTATTTCTGGAGAGTGGCAGTATTTTTTTATATTTGGATGGCATAATTTTCTTCCATGTAGGGCCGGGGCCCATTGTTGTTAATCTTGATTTGTCTAGTAAGCCTTCAAGGATCAACTTAGTATTTTTCTTTATAGCCTGAGAAATTGTCTTCCATTATGTGCTAATTAATGCTTCTATTCATTCTGCTTTCTTTTATTTTTTCTGGAATTTCTATATTATATCCCTGTGTGTTTGTGTGTAGTGTGTTTGTGTGTATATATGTGTCATTTCAAGTCTGGTCCTTGATGAATTCTGGAGAATTCAATCTTGTCTTCATTATCCCTTTGGTGTTTTTTTTTTTTTTTTCCGGGGGTTGGGGGCAGGCTCCAATCTACCAGTCATCACTCCTTTTCCGACTCCCATGTGTTTCATTCAAATCTCAACTTTTCTGATATCAGATCATTAAATCTTATAAATGCCTCATATAGTTCCATCGATTCTATGTTACAAACACATATGAGAGATTTTTAAAGATTGTCCCCTGTTTATTGGAGGAAGCTGTTGTGCAGATGAATATTTCTCTGATCTCTTGGGTTGGTTTCTTTTATCTTCAATTTCTTTATCTTGCCTTAGATTTGGTGATATTTTGTTTTGTTTACCATAGGGAAATCTATGTTCATTCACAATGGGAGGTGAGAAAAGGTTGGGCAAGAGGTTGTGTGAAAAGCAGTTTAAATCGTCCAGGCTCAGACAGTCAGAAAAGAGGAATACTGACTCACTCTAGTGACAGAATAGGCTGATGACAAGGGGCAGTTAGTTGTTGCAGTAAAATTTAATATATATCATGTTTTTCCTCTCTGAATTTATCATGGCAACCAAAAATGAGTACACAGTCTTTTTTTTATTATCATACTTTAAATTCTGGGATACATGTGCAGGACGTGCAGGTTTGTTACATAGGTATACACATGTCATGGTGGTTTGCTGCACCATCAACCCATCATCTACATTGGCTATTTCTCCTAATGCTATCCCTCCCCTGGACTCCTACCCTCTGACGGGCCCCACTGTGTGATGTTCCCCTCGGTGTGTCCATGTGTTCTCATTGTTCAACTCCCACTTAGGAATGAGAACATGCGGTGGTTGGTTTTCTGTTCTTGTGTTAGTTTGCTGAGAATGATGGTTTCTAGCTTCATAAATGTCCCTGCAAAGGACATGAACTCATCCTTTTTTATGGCTGCATAGTATTCCATGGTGTATATGTGCCACATTTTCTTTATCCAGTCTATCATTGATGGGCATTTGGGTTGGTTCCAAGTCTTTGCTATTGTGAACAGTGCTGCAATAAACATACGTGTGCATGTGTCTTTATAGAAGGATGATTTATAATCCTTTGGGTATATACTCAGTAATGGGATTGCTGGGTCAAATGGTATTTCTGGTTCTAGATCCTTGAGGAATCACCACACTGTCATCCACAATGGTTGAACGAATTTACACTCCCACCAACAGTGTAAAAGCATTTCTATTTCTCCACATCCTCTCCAGCATCTGTTGTTTCCTGACTTTTTAGTGATTGCCATTCTAACTGGCCCAAGATGGTATCTCAATGTGGTTTTGATTTGCATTTCTCTAATGACCAGTGATGATGAGCTTTTTTTCATGTTTGTTGGCTGCATAAATGTCTTCTTTTGAGAAATGTCTGTTCATATCCTTTGCCCTCTTTTCGATAGGGTTGTTTTTTCTTGTAAATTTGTTTAAGTTCCTTGTAGATTCTGGATATTAGTCCTTTGTCATATGGATGGATTGCAAAAATTTTCTCCCATTCTGTAGGTTGTCTGTTCACTCTGATGATAGTTTCTCTTGCTGTGCAGAAGCTCTTTAGTTTCATTAGATCCCATTTGTCAATTTTGGTTTTTGTTACCATTGCTTTTGGTGTTTTAGTAATGAAGTCTTTGCCCATGCCTATGTCCTGAATGGTATTGCCTAGGTTTTCTTCTAGGGTTTTTATAGTTTTAGGTCTTACATTTAAGTCTTTAATACATCTTGAGTTAGTTTTTGTATAAGATGTAAAGGAAGGGGTCCAGCTTCAGTTTTCTGCATCTGGCTAGCCAGTTTTCCCAACACCATTTATTAAATAGGGAATCCTTTCCCCATTGCTTGTTTTTGTCAGGTTCATCAAAGATCAGATGGTTGTAGATGTGTGGCATTATTTCTGAGGCCTCTGTTCTGTTCCATTGGTCTATATATCTGTTTTGGTACCAGTACGATGCTGTTTTGCTTACTGTAGCCTTATAGTATAGTTTGAAGTCATGTAGCGTGGTGCCTCCAGCTTTGTTCTTTTTGCTTAGGATTGTCTTGGCTATATGGGCTATTTTTTGGTTCCATATGAAGTTTAAAGTAGTTTTTTTTTTTTTTTTTTTGTAATTCTGTGAAGAAAGCCATTGGTAATTTGATGGGGATAGCATTGACTGTATAAATTACCTTGGGCAGTATGGCCATTTTCATGATATTGATTCTTCCTATCCACAATCGTGAAATGTTTTTTTCATTTGTTTGTGTCCTCGCTTACTTCCTTGAGCAGTGGTTTGTAGTTCTCCTTGAAGATGTCCTTCACTTCCCTTGTAAGTTGTATTCCAAGGTAGTTTATTCACTTTGCAGGAATTTAGAATGGGAGTTCACTCATGATTTGGCTCGCTGTTTGTCTATTATTGGTGTATAGGAATGCTTGTGATTTTTGCATTGATTTTGTATCCTGAGACTTTGCTGAAGTTGCTTATCAGATTACGGATATTTTAAGCTGAGATAATGGGGTTTTCTAAATATACAGTCATGTCATATGCAAACAGAGACAATTTGACTTCCTCTCTTCCTATTTGAATACCCTTTATTCCTTTCTCTTGCCTGATTGCCCTGGCCAGAGCTTCCAATACTATGTTGAATAGGAGTGGTGAGAGAGGGCATCCTTGTCTTGTGCTGGTTTTCAAAGCGCATGCTTCCAGCATTTGCCCATTCAGTATGATATTAGTGGTGGGTTTGTTATAAATAGCTCCTATTATTTTGGGACATATTCCATCAATACCTAGTTTATTGAGAGTTTTTAGCATGAAGGGCTGTTGAATTTTATCGAAGCCCTTGTCTGCATCTATTGAGATAATCATGTGGTTTTTATCATTGGTTCTGTTAATGTGATGGATTACGTTTATTGATTTGCGTATGTTGAACCAGCCTTGTATCTCAGGGATGAAGCCAGCTTGATCGTTGTGGATAAGCTTTTTGATGTGCTGCTGAATTTTGTTTGCCAGTATTTTATTGAGGATTTTTGCATCAATGTTCATCAGGGATATTGGCCTGAAATTTTCCTTTTTTATTGTGTCTCTGCCAGGTTTTGGTATCAGGATGATGCTGGCCTCATAAAATGAGTTAGGGAGGAGTCCCTCTTTTTCTATTGTTTGGAATAGTTTAGAAGGAATGGTACCAGCTCCTCTTTGTACCTCTGGTAGGATTCAGCTATGAATCCATCTGTTCCTGGGCTTTTTTTGGTTGGTAGGCTATTAATTACTTCCTCAATTTCAGAACTTGTTTTTGGCCTATTCAGGGATTCGACTTCTTCCTGTTTTAGTCTTGGGAGGTTGTATGTATCCAGGAATTTATCCATTTCTTCTAGATTTTCTAGTTTATTTGCGTAGAGGTGTTTATAGTATTCTCTGATGGTAGTTTGTATTTCTGTGGGATCAGTGGTGATATCCCCTTTATCATTTTTTATTGTGTCTATTTGATTCTTCTCTCTTTTTCTTTATTAGTCTGGCTAGTGGTCTATTTTGTTAATCTTTTCAAAAAACCAGCTCCTGGATTCATTGATTTTTTGAAGGGTTTTTTGTTTCTCTATCTCCTTCAGTTCTGCTCTGATCTTAGTTATTTCTTCTCTTCTGCTAGCTTTTGAATTTGTTTGCTCTTGCTTCTCTAGTTCTTTAATTGCGATGTCAGGGCGTCGATTTTAGATCTTTTCTGCTTTCTCCTGTGGGCATTTAGTGCTATAAATTTAGTGCTCTAAACACTCTTTGGCTGTGTCCCAGAGATTCTGGTACATTGTGTCTTTGTTTTCATCGGTTTCAAAGAACTTACTTATTTCTGCTTTCATTTCGTTATTTACCCAGTAGTCATTCAGAGCAGGCTGTTCAGTTTCCATGTAGTTGTGCAGTTTTGAGAGAGTTTCTTAATCCTGAGTTCTAATTTGATTGTACTGTGGTCTGAGAGACTGTTTGTTATGATTTCCATTCTTTTGCATTTTGAGGAGTGCTTTACTTCCAATTATGTGGTCAATTTTAGAATAATTGCTATGTGGTGCTGAGAAGAATGTATATTCTGCTGATTTGGGGTGGAGAGTTCTATAGATGTCTATTAGGTCTGCTTGGTCCAGAGCTGAGTTCAGGTCCTGAATATCCTTGTTAATTTTCTGTCTCGTTGACCTGTCTAATACTGACAGTGGGGTGTTAAAGTCTCCCACTATTATTGTGTGGGAATCTAAGTCTCTTTATAGATCTTTCAGAACTTGCTTTATGAATCTGGGTGCTCCTGTATTGGGTGCATATATATTTAGGATAGTTAGCTCTTCTTGTTGCATCCTTTGCCATTATGTAATGCTCTTGTCTCTTTTGATCTTCGTTGGTTTAAAGTATGTTTTATCAGAGACTAGGACTGTAACCCCTGCTTTTATTTGCTTTCCATTTGCTTGGTAAATATTCCTCCATCCCTTTATTTTGCGCCTATGTGTGTCTTTGCACATGAGATGGGTCTCCTGAATACAGCACACCAATGGGTCTTGACTCTTTATCCAATTTGCCAGTCAGTGTCTTTTAACTGGGGGCATTTAGCCAATTTACATTTAATGTTAGAATTGTTATGTGTAAATTTGATCCTGTCATTATGATGCTGATTTGTTATTTTGCCCATTAGTTGATGTGGTTTCTTCATATTGTTGATGGTCTTTACAATTTGGTATGTTTTTGCAGTGGCTGGTACCAGTTATTCCTTTCCATGTTTAGTGCTTCCTTCAGGAGCCCTTGTAAGGCAAGTCTGGTGGTGACAAAATCCCTCAGCATTTGCTTGTCTGTAAAGGATTTTATTTCTCCTTCACTTATGAAGCTTAGTTTGGCTAGATATGAAATTCTGGGTTGAAAATTCTTTTCTTTAAGAATGTTGAATATTGGCCCCCACTCTCTTCTGGCTTGTAGGGTTTCTGCAGAGAGATTCACTGTTAGTCTGATGGGCTTCCCTTTGTAGGTAACCCGACCTTTCTCTCTGGCTGCCCTTAACATTTTTTTCCTTCATTTCAACCTTGGTGAATCTGACAATTACGTGTCTTGGGGTTGCTCTTCTCAAGGAGTATCTTTGTGGTGTTCTCTGTATTTCCTGAATTTGAATGCTGGACTGTCTTGCTAGGTTGGGGCAGTTCTCCTGGATAATATCTTGAAGAGTGTTTTCCAACTTGGTTCCATTCTCCCCGTCACTTTCAGGTACACCAATCAAACGTAGGTTTGGTCTTTTCACATAGTCCCATATTTCTTGGAGGCTTTGTTCATTCCTTTTCATTCTTTTTTTGTCTTCATGCTTTATTTCATTAAGTTGATCTTCAATCTCTGATATCCTTTGTTTCACTTGATCGATTCGGCTATTGATACTTGTGTATGCTTCATGAAGTTCTTGTGCTGTGTTTTTCAGCTCCATCAGGTCATTTATGTTCTTTTCTAAACTGGTTATTCTAGTTAGTAATTCCTCTAACCTGTTTTTCAAGGTTCTTCGCTTCCTTGCATTGGGTTAGAACATGCTCCTTTAGCTCAGAGGAGTTTGTTATTACCCACCTTCTGAAGCCTACTTCTGTCAATCTGTCCAACTCACTCATTCTCCACCCAGTTTTGTTCTCTTGCTGGCAAGGAGTTGTGATCCTTTGGAGGAGAAGAGGCATTCTGGTTTCGGGAATTTTCAGCCTTTTTGTGCTGGTTTTTCCTCATCTTCGTGGATTTATCTATCATTGGTCTTTGATGTTGGTGACCTTTGGATGGGGTTTTCATGTGGACGTCCTTTTTGTTAATGTTGATGCTATTCCTTTATGTTTGTTAGTTTATCTTCTAACAGTCAGGCCCCTCTGCTGCAGGTCTGCTGGAGTTTGATGGAGGTCCACTCCAGAGTTTTTAAAAGCCCCTTCTCAGTTGAGGCAATGGCTTTTGGTGTGGCTACTTGTCCCAAGGAGAAGTCAAGAGCAAGAACCCCATAATGTCTCCTCTCTGTGTGCACTTTGATGCATACTCTTCCAGAGCTGCTGTTACAATTAATGTTTACCCTCCCAAACTCTGCTTCAGGGTCCTCCAACTCAACTGTATTACCTACTGATCTCAGTTAAGGAGGTTTACATGGTTCAACTACCTTTTTTCCTTTTCCTTATTTGTAAGCTGCTCCTTTTCATCCAATGAATGCCTGACCAGGTTTCACATGTACCACCTTTGACAGGAACATGTTGCCCTCCTCTGGTTTACAATACAATACATATTGTACCTTCTTTTTTGTATTCCTTTGATCATATGGCTATGTCCAACGTATCATCTCCATCTATAAGTCCTATTGCTTGCTTTTAAAGTAAAGGGAGCAATAGTTTAGTTTGTCTATCTGAGACTGGGTCAGAAGTTGGCTCTGCTGTTCTGGAACTCATATTCAAGAGATGGTATTCTCAACTCACCCTTCATTACAAGAATAATTAACTGTTGATCCAAACTGTGTATCTGTGTTTATATGCACCATTCCATTGAAGGGTTCTGGTGGAGGTCCACATGATTTTCCTAGGGGAAGAAGCAGAATTTGGGATTAAATATAGAGTTCAACTTACCTTTGTAAGGTTCAGACTGGAGTGTGGCATACTAAACAGCATATACAGTTCCAATTGTTTCATGGAATTGACTGCTTTGAGGAAACTTGGCAGACAACTTCAGAATCATGTAGCTACGAACACAACTTTGAAAAAGACTATCTTGCACCTCCTAATAAAGGTTATGTATGGGCTCTCGCCTGTAATCCTAGCACTTTGGGAGGCCGAGGCCGGCAGATCACCTGAGGTCAGGAGTTCAAGACCAGCCTGGCCAACGTGGCAAAACCCCATCTCTACTAAAAAATACAAAAATTAGCTGGGCATGGGAGTGGGTGCCTGTAATCCCAGTTACTCGAGAGGCTGAGGCAGGGAGACTTGCTCGAACCCAGGAGGTTGCAGCCAAGATCGCGCCACTACACTCCGGCCTGGGTGACAGAGTAAGGCTCCATCTCAGAAACAAACAAACAAACAAACAAAAAACACAACAGCAACAGCAGAAACAAAACAAAAACAAAACAAGTCATTTATGGCTAAAGTGTTGTACTCTCATTCCGCCAGCCAAAATCAAAGGCCTCAAAATTTGGGATGTCTCCCCTATTTTTAGTTAGCCAAGCACAGTTCACTGCAACTCACATAAATTTCTTTTGTACCCCTGTTTCATTCATTTAATGGTGTCAGCCATCAAGGATGATCTACAGTGAATGTAAATTTTCTCTCTAATTCTTTTGTGAGAGCCATTCTCATGAAATGAGCATCTAGTCAAGGTTCAGGAACTACAAGCAAGAAGAAGGGGTGATGTACAAGACCATCCTTTCCTTTATCAAAATATCTTGGGCAAATATAGACATCTTGCTTCCAAAATTTGAGCAAATTGAATCAAATCCCACCTACGTTGTTTTTGTTGTTGTTGTTTGTAGACGTGGGGTTTGGCCATGTTGCCCAGGCTGGTTGCGAACTCCTGAGTTCAAGCTATCTGCCAGCCTTGGCCTCCCAAAGTGATGGGATTACAGGCGTGAGCCACCAAGCCCGGTCCCACCTATGCTTTAACAGACATGAAGTAGTTCCCAGGGAGGGGTTACTCACGTCTACAGTTGTCTTCAACACTTGACCAGACCAAGTTTTCTAGGCAGGAGATAGAGAACATTTTCCCAAAATACCCAGGACGGCATTCATAATTCAAAGATGTCCCGACTGGAAACTCAAAGTCATTAATTGGGATCGTAGGACTGGCAAATGGAAACTGCTCTGGGGTTTTACAGTGACCTGGAGAGAAAAACCACAGGAATATCAAAGTTAGCAGAGAGACTTCCACCCTACCTCCTCTTTCTCTTCAATTAAGCTGATAGGTGGATCACAGAAACAAAGAGACTTACAAGAATAGCAAAAGATTTTCTTCTCCTTGATGTTACCTTGGGATGAAGCTCTTCAATGCATCTACTCAGCAGGATTTTTTTTACTATTTGGAAGACCACTCAGCTTTCTGATCTTTCTTCCCTTATTTCACCAAAGCAAGAACTTCAGCTTGTAGTTTCACATTCTGACCTCCTATCGGAGTGCCTATATCCTCAGTTAACCACTCAAATCTTCATGTGTTTGTGCTAATTCACTCATGAGTAGCAAGACATATTTTATCATCTCTCTCCATACTCCATTCTCAGGGTGCCCATCATAAGCTGCCTCTCTGGCCTTTCATAGCAGGTACCCCTTGTAGTGAGTTGAATGATGTTCTCCCAAAAGATATCTCTACCTAAAACCTCAGAATAGAAACTTATTTGGAATAATGGTTTTTCAGATAGAATTAAGATTAGGTTCTTGAGATTAGATCATCTTTTATTTAGAGTGGGCCCTAAATCCAATGACTGGTGTCCCTATCAGGGAAAAAGTGGAGGGATTTGACATATAGAGACACAGGGGAAAAGGCTATGATGGAGGCAGGGATTTGAATGATGCATCCACAAACCAAGGAATGCCAAGGAATCCCAGGAACCAGCAGCAGATGGAAGAAGTAAAGAATTGGTTATTTTCCAGAGCCTTAGAAGATGGGAAAATACCTCTGCCAACATCTCAATTTCAGCCTACAAAACTGTGAAATAATAAGTTTCTTTTGTTTTAAGCCACCTAGTTTGTGGTAATTTGTTACAGCAGCCCTAGGAAACTAATACAGTGTTTTTCTTCTGATGCTAAACCAGGCATTTAAAGATAGAACAAAATAGGCTGGGCATGGTGGCTCACGCCTTGTAGTCCCAGCACTTTGGGAGGCCAAGGCAGGTGGATTGCTTTAGCCCAGGAGTTCAAGACCAGCCTGGGCAACATGATGAAAACCGGTCTACATAAAATACAAGAATTAGCTGGGTGTGGTGGCATGCACCTGTGGTCCCACCTACTTGGCAGGCTGAGATGGGAGGCTTGCTTGAGCCAGGGAGGTCAAGGCTGCAGTAAACTATGATTGCACCACTCTACTCCACCTGGGCAAAAGAGTAAGACCCTCTCTCTCAAAAAAAGCACACACACACACACACACACAAAACAAAACAAAAAAAGAACCAGAACAAAACAGACTAAGCCATCAGCCTTCTGTAAGAAGCTATGTCTTCTTTCTGAGAGAGTATATTGTGTGCTGCATATTTTTACTTTTTTTGTTTTACAGTTTTTACAATTTTTCAGTCTTATTTTTTGTAGAGTTAGGAGCTTGCTGTGTTGGCCAGGTTGGTCTTGAACTCCTGGCCTCAAACAATCCTCTCACCTCGGCCTCCAAAGTGCTGGGATTATAGGTGTGAGCTACTGTGCCCAGCCATGTGCTGCATATTTTCAAATAGAGTCTGAACTCCATTACCTCCTTTTTGGAGAAGGCTTCCTCCATCTGTTCATTAAGCCTGCACTGGGGTCTAGGCATTTACATTAAAAAAATTTACTGCATTCTGATGGGTACCACTCAGTTGGAGAGTAAAGGTCAAAGAAAGGTTAAATGCCTTTCATCAGGTTTAGTCTTTTCACCTTGGCTGGCTCTTGTCTCTCAGGGCTTCCCTGTGGATAATGGAATATTCCAAGGCTGGTGCCACATCCCTAATCTACTCCAGTTTCTGCTCTGGAAAAGGCCTAATGTTTGCCCTGAAGGACCAGGCAACTTCTTCCCCTCCTTAGGAAGAAATAGCCTCTTCCTTTTCCTACTCTTTTCTTTGGGCTACTCTTTCCTTGCTTCTTACCCCCTGAGTGGAACAGTTCAAGTACAAAGATTAAGACAGCCTGGAGGCAAGATGACAAGTGGACAAACTTTAAGTCAAGACAAAGAGAGTCTTTTTGGTTACTTAGCCCATGCAGCAGAACACTAGTTTAAAACCTTAGCTAAATAATATCCACATTTCCAATTTTGAACTTTGCATGCCCATGTACCCCTCATGAACTTATGGAGACTGTCAATTATACAGATACTGGTTAGTGTTCAGAGGCAGATGTTTTCATGTCGTCTCCAGTGAATACATTTTTCTTCCTGATTTACATAACTGTGCCTTACTGCCTTCCCTCCACCCCTCCCTCAGTCCCTTTTTCCCACCCTCTTCCACTCCACCAGCAAGAAGAGTTTTCATCTTATAGATTCAAACATACCTTGGCGCTGCTGAAACCCATCTGTTTTAGCTATGGTATGTAATTTTGACATTTACACTTATGACAAAGTTAAGCTCACAAACAAATACCATAGTCTTATTACAGAAACATGAGGGATTGGGTCCACATATTCTGAACCCATTTAGGATATGTGGAAGTGGATACTGACCAGCACGAACAGAAAGTTCACAGCGAGGGGCAGGGCTGCTCCAAACCCCATTCCCATGAGGGTCACTTGTGCAGCGGATGGTGCTCTCCCCAATGAGGTTGAAGGTCATCCCTCTGTCTGGGTGGGGGTCACATGTGTAAGATATTTCTTTTCCATAGGGAATATCTCCAGAGGGAGTTCCTGTGTGTCTCCCATTAAGGATAGCTGGAGGATTTGGACAAAAGATATCTAGAAAGAAAACAAGAGCTCTCAATTCCATAAAAAATTTTAAAGTATAATCCAAGGTGATTCTACAGTTGTCATACTGTGACTGTGTTGCCAATTAAGCGTACTTTTCTTCTTAAGGAAAGTAGAAACTGCAAAATAAATGTATTAGGCCTCTGCTAAGATGGAGCTAAATGAAATGACAACTAAATCAATGTTTATTACAAAAGCCTTTCCCAAATTAAGCATCCTAAATTTTTCAGATAGTTAATATTTCTGAATAATAAAGAGTATATTCCTTTAAAGTAAATAAAAATCTTCACAGTCACATTAAAGGGGAATCATCCATTAATTCAACAAGCATGTTTTTGAATATCTGCTGTATGTCAAGTACTGTTTAAAGCACAGGATAAATATGATCTTTGACATCAAGAGTCTTCATCCTAGAGACATCTTTCTAAAATATATTATACATTTATTATTTGTATATCAGTGATTTAATTTTTCTTGATGATGCCAGGCTATGATTTTCAAAATACAGATGAAAGATTGCAGTAATGCTGTCACAATGAAAAAAAAATGCTATGTACTCCTGTATGTGTTTCAAAAGGCTCAAGAATGTTACGGTTTTTTGAGATACTCATTGGTTTTTAAGGGTTTATTTATTTATTTTTTTCATTAAAGAAACACATTTATTCCTTGGAATGCCTCTATTTGGGGACACTCCTTCCCTTTTCTAATTTGCTTTGAATTTGGGAAGAGGATATTACAGCTTAAAAGAATTATAGATAAACTAATCAAAGGTTAAAATAGCTTAACCAATGTTTACACTCTAGTAAGCGATTTCAGGTATATGTTGGGTTCATGAGGGTATTTTCTTTTTCTTTTCTTTCATACTTCTTAACTATTCCAGGGAAGTTAAGATTGTCAAATAGCTGACTTCCAACAATGTAAGATGAAATTATCATTTTCATCATATAAATCAATACAAGACATTGAAATGATTTAAGGCAAAGTATTCATATGAGCAAAATTCTATTGTAAACATGTATTTTTAATAGCTATGATCAGAAGGGGAAGCAATACCCTGATTGATTTAGTGAAGAAGTAAATGGATAGATGGGACATAGTAGTGTTTCTGTTTTTAACACACTATTTTCTGCCCTCTTAAAAATCAAAAGCAAACCTCTTGCTGTCATTTCCCTCTTCAGCTATAGTCCTATTTCTACTCTCTTTACATGAAAACTCCTCTAAAATATTGTCTATGATCTGTTACAGTTCCTCCCATTCATTCTCCCTAGAATTCATTCCAATCAGTGTTTGCCAGCACTCCACTGAAACTTCCACTTGTTACCTCCAAGTTGCTAAACCCAAAGATCAATTTTCTGTTCTCACCTAATTTGACCTCTCTATAGAATTTGACACAGTTGATTAGTCTAATCCCTTAAAATAATTTCCATACTTGGCTTCCAGGGCACCTCACCCTCCTGTGTTTTCTCTTACTGCAGTGGCTGCTTCATCATAATCCCCTTTGCTGATTCCTTCTCACCTTTGCAACTCTTAATCCTGGACATCCAGGCTCAGTCCATGCATCTGTTCTCTAGCAGCACTCACTCCCTAGGTGAAGATCTCTTTCAGTCCTGATTTCAAGCATAGCAGATACAATGATGGCTTCTACATATCTATGGGCAGCCTGGGACTCTCCAACATATCCATCTGGATATCTAAGAGGAACACTAAAGTTATGTCCCAAGCTTAACTTTTGATTTCCCCCATTCCCAAACTTCATGCAGTCCCCTGCATTTCAGCTAAGGGAAATTCTACCCTGGCGGTTGCTCTGGCCAAAAACCTGGAAACTGGCTATGTTTCTTCTCTTTCTTTCACACCCTCTATCTAAGCTAACCATCACCAAATCCTGTCATCTGCACCTTCAAAATATATCCAGAATTTGATCACTTCTCATCATCACCTTTCCCAATTGCTATCCTGGGCCAACATCTCTGATTAGATTGCTGCAACAGCCTCCCATTTTGAACCCTCAGCTACACCCAGAGGTTTGCTGGGCTACACTTGCCTTTTGGGTCCTCAGCTACATTCTCAATTGACAGCACTGACTCAATTAAGAGCATTTTCTTAATAACACTTAGTATCATTTGAACATTTCTATTCATGTCTTTGATTTTTGTCTTTATCCTTGCACAAAAACTTAAACATGGACTTATCTGTCTTGTTTATAGGTATATCCCCAGTTCCCAGAAGATTGCTTGGCACATAGTAGGTGCTCAAATAATTTTCTGTTGAAAGAATGAGTATATGACTAAATGGATGATTGAGGGAAGAACTGAAAAGTTGAAGTATGACTATTACTTTTGACAGGAAAGAAGAGAAAAATTTAGCCTAGCATCTTGCCATACATTTATTTCTATGAAGCATTTCTCTCTATTTATAGCACAGACTCTCCTCATAAATATTTATAGGATGGTACCCAAAACACATGATTCTCATGTTTATTTTTCCCCAAAACATTGCTTGTATCTATTCCAACAAAGAACAATTTCTATCAAAAGCGGGCACAAACAGCGGGACAAACAATAGATAATCCCATGGGGCAAACTATATTAAGAAAAAAACAGAAAGATCCAGACTGAACAAGTATTCCATCTACTCACGTTCACACACAGGAACACTGTTATTCCAAAGGCTTCTCATTCCAACCAAGACACAATGACTAACGGAACTGCCCTTTAAGCGAAACCTAAAGAACAAAGCAGTAGTGGCTGGATGAATGCACCATTTCTCTCTTCCCTTCGTGACAGATCTCAACCTCCTCCCTGAGAATTCCTAAGTTAATTAACATTTTACTGCTCAAGCTAAAGCACAGGTGAAAACACTCAACTCACTTAGTTTCTCATTGACGGGCTCAGAAGCCAAATCATTTTGGAAAAAGTGTAGCTTTCAGTGAGGACAAAGCAATAATAGCTGGCAGAGCTGTCAATCACATGTAATTGGAATTTAGAATATTTCTACTTACTCTTTCGTTCCTATTCCAAATTCCACTATTTATTTGATTAAAAGTTTTGTGAAATAATCTTTGCATGTTATTTTATCTTATATACAACTTTCTCTTATATATCAAACTTTTCTTAACAACCCCTAGAATATTTATTTATCTCTTCATGTCTGCAAATTATTATTTATTCATACATCTAATGTTCCATGTATATATGTATATACATATGTATATATACATATGTTCCATATATATGTATATACATATGTATATATACATATGTATACATATACGTATACATATGGACATGTATACGTATACATATACACATGTACATGTATACGTATACATATACGTGTCCATATGTATACGTATACATATACGTGTCCATATGTATACGTCTACATATACGTGTCCATATGTATACGTCTACATATACGTGTCCATATGTATACGTCTACATATACGTGTCCATGTATACACATATGTATACACATGTACATGTATACGTATACATATACGTGTCCATATGTATACGTATGTATACATATATATACACACTTTTTTTTTCAAGATCTTTTGTATTTCGGCCATTGTTTTTCCTTTGTGCCTTACTGGAAGCTGCACGTTTTCCAAAATGATTTTACTTCTGAGCCTCTATAAGTGAGAAATCAAATGAGTTGAGCTTTTTGCTTTTTAAACTTCTGTTCATGGATCCAGCTGGTTCATACCACACTTTCCAATCATTGTTTCAGATATTAGTCTCCTCTAGTACTTCTTTTCCACCAGGTTGGTCCCCTTTTCTGGACTGGTGACTGTATTTCTGTTTGTACTTGACACTCAGTTATATGCGCCATTTTTTCTTTATCTCTTTATCTCCTGATAGTAGTGCCACTTAGTCCCTACCTTTATTTTAAAGCTACACTTCCAGAGGTTAATCTCCCTGGATTCTTCTTCTCCTAGGTCAGCCCTCTTTTTGGATTGATCCTTAAGCTCAAGAGTCACTCTGCAGTGCTGAGTCCCTGATCTGAATTCTGGGTCACACTTACCCTTCATCACAGACAAAGGACACCTTTGCCCCAAGCTGGAGATTAAGTGGAAATAGCACACGGCCATGAGGGAGTTGACCCAAGAAGTCATCACAGGATTTCACTAGAAGAAGAAAAAAAAAAAAAAGAAAAAATAGGAGTAAGACCTCCATGTGTGGGGTAAAGAGAGAAATCTGGAAGCCAGAGAGTTGAGGCACCTGCACATCTCGGGGCTTCAGGGCTCCAGTCTCCCTGGGGTGTGCAGTGCAGAGACGCAGCCCCTCTGAGGTCATAGCCAGGCTCACAGCTGTAGAACACTTCCTGCCCAGGTGAAAAGTTGTCCTGATGGCTTGGGGTATGCTCACCATGCAGGATTTCTGGAGGCGGCTGACACACTGTGGAAAGGACAGTTCCAGAGTACTTGTTAGTTATGGGGGAATTTCCTATGCTTCCTGAAGACCTCATAGCTAGTCAGAGGTAGAGAAATAGAACCCAATTCTCCCTAGCACAAGGCCCCAAATTCACTTGTAAATCTACAGGGCATGAGGTATTTTCTCCTAGCTCTGGCTATCCAATGTGAAGTTATCAGTATTGGTGGATTCTCCATCTACATATTTCCTAGGAAGGTAATCCCGATTTGTACCATTGTTATTCAGGTAATGAGACTGTCACCTGAGACCAAATCTGTTTTACAGATTTCCCCCAATTTCTCTGATTGCACACCAATGACTAAAGTACAGTCATACTGTTTCGGGACAGGCATGCCCCTAAATTGGGGCTTACTCTGGAAGGGTTCTTGCCTCATCCAGGACAGAATTCAAGGATGAGCCAGTGGTGCTAGACAGCAATCTGTTAGTGAAAGGCACTGCTTCTTGCAGAGCAGGGCTAACTCACAGGCAGCACACCCAGAGTCAGCAACATAAGGGTTCCTGGCAGGCAACTGTGTTTATACTGCTGTAAACCCATTTCAGTTACATGTAAATTAAGGAGTGGATCAATGCAGATTGAGGGGCGAGTTATTTAGAACTTTCCAGGAAAGGGGCGGTAACTTCTAGGTCGTTGCCATGGCATTTGTAAACTGTCATGGTGCTGATGGGACTATGAGGGCAGCTAGCAATTGCTTTCATCGCCATCTGCTGGTTCCTGCTGTTTTTTCACTTCATCCTGTCTGGGCCAGAGCCTGTTTTGGTCAGCAGGATTGTGACCAGAACACAAGCCCTGCCCATCTCCTGCCTCAGTACATCCGTCTTTATATCCCTTTATCTGTTCATCTTCCCAGCTCAGTGGTTGCACAAGGCTAACATGGGTTGGTAGAAGAATCGTAAGCTCCTTCTCTGTCCCTATGTATCAACCATAACACCTCCTACACAGCTGCTAAGCCAGCTATTGTGGCATCAGTAGACAAGATGAGCCATCAAAAACACAAGCCATTAAATAAGACAGTCCTTTGTCACGAGAGGGCATATTATTTGGAGAGTATTTGACTCAACATCTGCCTTTATTTATAGTCCTGTTCGTTCATGCTTAGGGCATCAGAACCCATTTTAACATCAACCTAATCTATACCTCATTAAACATGAATTTAGAAATATTTAACTGACTTTGAACAAGTTACTTTCACTCTTGACTTAGACTCCTAGGGATAAAATGTAGGACGTGGATGGCTTGAGCCTAGGAATCTGAGGCTGCAGTGAGCCATGATTGTATCACTGTACTTCAGCCTGGGCAACAGAGTGGGACATCAACTCTAATAAATAGTTTTTAAATAAAATAAAATCAAAATAAAATGTAGGAGGCAGACCATTATAGACAAACTCTAAGGTCTTTGTCTATTCTGAGGCTATGATTTCTGTCTTTGTAAGCCAGTCTCTTTCTTTCAGCAATGGATACTGATGAAAGTATGGCAAGAGCCAAAACATTCAGACTCTGGGGTCTGATACACTTGCATTTTAAAATCCTGGGTGTCTCGCTTAGAACATGTGACTTAGCTAATTTATTTAACCTCTGAAAGATCAAGCTGATGTCACTATTAAATGGATAATACAATAGCACAATTTCAAAGTGTTGTTGTAAATAATGAATGAGAAAATGCATATAAAGTGCTTAGC